>NW_021160022.1:300000-493165 GCF_000001405.40 Homo sapiens
TTTTCCTAAAATGTCCTGGACTGGGTGGGGAGGGTCAGCCACCTGGGGTTTAAGGAGCAATCCCCTCCCCACACCGACGTGCTGAGGAGCAGATGTGTGTGAGACAGACACAAGGGGCAAAGATAAGGACAAGAGGGTGCCCTCTCCTTGGAATCTGTTATGAGGGCTGAGGGTGTCCCCGTCCAGCTCCTGGACTCTGGGGGATCTTGGGTGAGATGGGGGCCGGAATGGGCTGGGGCAGGGGTGAGGCTGGGCGCTCAGCCTAAGAAGCCATCGGGGTCATCATCCTCAAAGTGGCCTTGCTGAAGCACCTTGATGTGGTGCTCGTAGATTTTCAGGGCTGGCCCGAGGCGGATGGACAGGCCGGTGAGCACATCTGTGCGCTGCATGAGCAGCAAAGATTTGCCATCAATTTCCTGGGTGGGACAGGAACAGAGAGAGCCGGGATCAGGGCACATCCCAGGGAGGCCCTCTGTGTCTGTCAGTGTGTAGTCCTGGGCTGGAAACTCACCTGCTCTTGGAAAGCTGTCGCCTGCTCCGGGAATCCAGCCTCAGTAAAATATTCGACGACATCCATCACGGTCCACTCGACGGGATCAGATGGCTTCTCTTTGCGCCCGGGACTGCATCAAAACAAACAGACACCAGTGAACACGGATGTCTCTCTGGCTGTACCACACACCTGAGCAGCACCCCCATGTCTCCAATACCCCAACTTACGGACAGCCAAAGGGGGTCCCGTCGGCCCCAGGTAGGGCTGGTTTGCCTGGGGGCAAAGGCACGGGGGACGGGGAGTCTGGCCCGGTGGCAACAGAAGCTGGGAAGGAAAAAAACACCTGTCTTTGGCTTTGTCTTCGGGCTGAGTTCCTCTCCACCTAGCACTCTTCCCCACCCAGAGGGATCCTTACCTGTTCCCCCTTCCTTGTTCATGGCTGCCATGGAGAACACCTGGCGGGTGCCGCTGCCCGGGGCTGGCCCCCGCCCTTCATCCTGGCCCTGGTGCGGTCCGCAGGGGGTCCACTCCTTGACCCTCTCCTTGGCACTCTGAGGTCCCCGCTCGCCGTTAAGCTGGTGGTGCTGGGCACCTGCAGGACGGTCACTCTCGGGCACTTCAGAGCCCTCTGACACATCATCTTCTTCATCTTCATCTTCATCATCATCTTCTTCCTCTTCTTTCTCAAGTACTCGCTCTTCTCCACCTCTCTGGAGCCGAGGAGAGAAGCATGCAAAATTAGTAGCTGTTCTAATCCCAGACCCTGACTGTGGCGTCCGGGCGGTGGGGAGGAGGAACCGATTCCACCTTTAAGAACAATACGGACTAACTTTTACGCATTCACTCCGTGCCAGGCTCTGTGTTAACTAAAGCCCTCGACAACCAAATCTTACTAAACTCGCTCAACAACCCCAAGGGGTCGCTACTGTTATTAAACCGCGTTTACAGCGGAGGAAACTGAGGCTCCGGGAGATTCAATCACTTGCCAAGGTCACCACGCACCGAGCCCGCAGGAAACGCGCGCAAAGCCCCAGCCACCCGCCACCCAGTTCCTCCCGGGACTCGCGCCCCCGCCACCAACTTCGCCCGCACCTGCCCACCGCGCGGCGCCCCCGCTCCCCGGCGCGCTCACCTTGCTGCGAGACGGGCGGGCGCTGGCGGCCGGCGGCGCCCGTCCGGGCCTGTCCCCGCGGGGCAGCGCAAGCGCTCCGAGACGGGTGCGCTCCAGACGGCCTCGAGCCGCCGCCTCCTCCTCCAGCAGCCCCTGCACGCGGCCGCGGGTTAGGCGACCGCCGGCGCCGCCGCTGCCCCCGAGGTAGCGCACGACTTCCCGCAGGCTCACGGGCCGCGCCGCGCCGCCGGCCCGCACCGCGCCCCCCTCCGGCGGCGGCTGTGGCTGCGGCGGCGGCGGCTGCTGCTGCTGTGGCGGCGCCGGCGGCTGTGGCGGCGGCGGCAGCGGCGGCTCCCGGGCGGCGACGGCGGGCGGGGGGGCGCGGCGCGGGCCGGCCGGGGGCGCCACCGCCGGGGGAGCGGCTGGCGCGGGCGGCGGCGCGGCCAGGGGCGCGGCCCGCTGCGCGCGGGGGCCCGGCTGCGCGGGGCCAGGCGAGGGGGGCGCTGTGGCGGCGGCGGCGGCCGCGCGGGGCGCCCGGGCCGGGGCGGCGGCGGCGACGGGCGCGGGCGGTGGCGGCGGGGCGGGCGTGGGCGGCGGCGCGGCGGCGGCGGCGGCGGCGGGGGCCCCGCGGGGGGCGCGCGGCGGGGCCGGCGGGGTGGCTCCGCGCCGGGGCGGCTGGACGCGCGCCGCGTTGCGGTACGAGATGCTCCCCTTGTAGCTGACCCGGAGCACGGCGCGCTGCTGGATCAGTTTCTCGAGCTCGGCGCGCGTGCGCTCCGGCTCCGGGCCGTGCCGCCGCCGCACCATCCGGCAGATGCGCTCCAGGTCCGGCCGCGCCTTGCGCGAGCGCAGCGAGTCGATGGTGTCCAGGATCCACTCTTGGTAGTGCGGGGAAGCGGCGGACGACGAGGCGGCGGCCGCCGTGGTGGCGGCCGCCGCCGTCTCCGGCGGGGGTAGGGCCGGGGGCCCCGCCATGCCTCCCGCCCGGCCCGGCTGCACCGTGCGCGCTGCCTCCCTCCCAGCGCGGCGCCCCCCTCCCCGGCTCCCCTCCCTCCGCCGCTGCCCGCCTCCTCCGCCTCCCCCCCCGGGGGGCGCAGCGCCTCGGCGGAGCGGCGGCGGCGCTGCTGTTTCTTTGCAAAAAAAAAAAAAAAAAAAAGAGAGAGAGAGGGAGAGAGAGAGAGAGGAAAAAACAGTGAGAGAGAAAGAAAAGAGAGAAAAAAATATGCACACACTCACTCACTCGCACGCACGCACACACAGACCCGCTTCTGCTGGGCGCGCGCGGGGCCGGGGATGCGAGGGGGAGGAGGGGAGCGCGGCGCGGCCGGCCCCTCCCCGCCGCCGCCGCCGCCGCACGCGCGCCCTGCGCCCGGGACACTCCGGCCCCCCTTCCTTCCCTCCCTCCCTCCTCCCCGCCGCCCGCCTTCCTCCCTCCCACCCCCACGCGCCCGCTTTTAAGGTGGAGCCCGGGCCCCCCGCCCGCCCCCTTTACCCTGCGCTCTCGCTCACTCCGGCTCGCTCCGGCCCCCCCTTACAACTCCCGCGCGCTTTTTAAGGAGGCGCCGCGGAGTTGGCCCGGGGCGGGGGCGGGGGAAAGCGGCGGGCGGGGGAGGGGGAGGGGAGTGCCGGGGGGAGTGGAGAGGGGGCGGGCAGGGCGGGCGGGCGGCGCTCGGCCGCCCTCCAGCCATTGGGCGCGGGACCCAGACGTCCCCGGCGCCCAGCCCCCCTCTCCACGCCTCTCCAGCGCGCTCCGCTCTCGGGACCGCACTTACCGGGAACTCGCCGCCCGCGGGCCGGGGCTGCCGCGCTCGCAGGGTGCTGCGGGGACCCTCCTGCTGCCGCCGCCCCCGCGTCCCTCAGGCGCGCCTGGCCCGGCGCTGAGGATGCGGGAAGGGGGGCGCGCACCCTCTCCCCCTTCTACTCCCCCTGCCAGGGCCGCCCCCGCCGCCGCTCGGCCTCCTGGCGCGCCAGCCCCAGCGCCTCCCTAGAGCGCCCTCTCGGTCCCGGGCTGGACGCCGAGGGGGCGCGCCGCAGATTTGGGGACCCCGAATCTGGGGTCAAAGGGCAGTTTGACGCTCGTTTCTCCTGCGGGGCCGAAGGAGTGCCGGAATTTCAGCTAAACCCTGGTTACAAGGACTTCAAGCCAGGACCTGATCGGCCTGCACGCTGGGGTCCGAAATTCCCTTTCCAACCCCCTGGGGGTGTGTGGGTGGGTGATCGAAGTCGAGAACACCAGCGACACTTTTTTTTTAAACAAAACTTTATTGGTAATAGTTTTCAAATATGTTTACAACAGCACACTGTTCAAGAGGAAGTCTCGTCCTTCGCAGCACACAGGTTGAATCGCCCCCGCACCCACCCGGGGCCCCACCCCAGGCCTGAGAACTCCTCCTGGGATGGGGAGAAGTTATGAGAGGGGGAAATACGGGGATGAATGGGGTGGCTCCCCAGCGGCTCCCCACTTTTCTATTACGAGAGAAAAAAGCACAAATGAGAAAGTGGGGGAGAGGTGATGGACAGCTGACAGCTAAGCTGGAGGAGGGGCGCCCAGGATGGGGGAGGCGGAAGCTGGTGGGTGAGTAAAACAGGCAGCCCCTCCCCAGCAGCTCTAGCCTTGAACCCCGGGCCGTGGCTTGGGGGGACTTGGCCTCTTCTGTTCCCTTTTGCAGGGATGCCCTCCCCACTCAGCTGAGGGAAGGCTGGACGTTAAAATCTAGCGGAGAATAAAATTAAGGAGTTGGGGGGAAACGCTGCTGGGAGGAAAGACTTGGGCTTGGGGCTCCCCCTCTGTCTTTTTGGGGGATGACTCCTCTTTGGCAGGGAGAGGGGCAGCTGCTTTGTCTGGCTTTCAAAGCCCAAGGGTGAAGACAGGTCTGTTGGGGAAAAAGAGAGCGGAGGCTTCCTAAAGGGGCCTAGACCCTCGCAGGATTGGCAGAGAGGATTCCCCGGGGAGGGGCCCAGGGGAGATTAGCAGCGGGGAGGTTCAAACCCCAGCGCCTCCCTTTCCAAAGTCAGTCTGCTTCTCTTTAAAATGGATTTGAGGAATGGGGGGACATGGGAGGGGTGGGAGTAGAGGAAGGAGGGAGGGAGGCACTGGTGGAACTTAAATAAGATTTTAAATTGTTGTTTTTTTAAAAAAATTCTAGCAAGCAACCCACTGAACATGTCACTAAAAATCTCTCCTTCCCAGGCAGGATTACTCCGAAAGGAAGGTTGGCGCTTCGTTCATTTGCCCTTAGCAAGTGGGGCCTGTGGTTGGGTGGGATGGGGGTGTGGGTGGGGGCTGGAGTTAAGCGTGAGCCCCTCTTTCCATACCCTGTCCCTGGATACACCAGCAAGACCTGGTCTGACTGGAGTTGAGAAACTCGTTTAAAACAGGCAGAAGTGGGCTGGGAGGGCTGAGGGGCTGGGGGGCTGTGGGGAAAGAGGAAGGGAAAAGTGGGAGAGGGGGCAGGAGGGTGAAGGGGATGAGGGGGAGCAGCTGGTGTTTCTGTCCCTCTGATTATCTGGGCTTCCTGCTCCCCCTAACCCTGGAGGGTGGGGTGGGGGTGAAATTAGATGCAAGGAACTCTGGGGCCCTCTGGCTGTTCAATCCAACCCTCCCACCCCCCCGACCAAAAAAAAGAAAAAAGAAAAAAGAAAACCCATGGGGGCACAGGCATGCCCCTAAAACTCAGAAAACTCCTTGCCACACTTCTCATTGATGGAGACCCGGATTTCTTCTTCCTCATAGTCGTCAAAGTTACTCGTATCCCCAGGGCCTTTAAACTTTGGTATGAAGGGAGCTTCCACCTGGAGAGGGATCAAGAATCACCCAGACCTCAGCATTCAACATAATCATTATTACAACAATAAATGCGAATGGCCTAACATTCAAGAGATATTTACTCTGACTCAGGCCTGTGCTTACCATTAGGTTATGGATTCCTCTTAACAGCCCGAAACTCTTAATGTAGCAACTCATCAAAGGGGAAATTACTTCCCAGAGAGAGGCATCTGTTGCACAAGGTCATGGAATGGCCAAATGACCCCAGAATCCCATTTCTAGACCCCACTGCTCTAAGCTCTCTACTCTAGGTTGCTCCTGAACCTGTGTTCTCTTCTCTATTTCTCTATTGGCTGTCCTCCCTGACTCTTGGCCTGCTCCCAAACCCTCAGCAGGCTTAAGGAGGGGAGGCCCACCTTCCTCTGGTAGATGGCAATCCAGTCAGTTGTGGCAAACCACTTGTGGTTCTTGATATCGTTGACCCCATTCTTGAGGTTCCCAAAGCGCTTGGTGAGATCTACCTGCAGGAGGTTCCGCAGCAGGTCCTTCAAGTCAGAGCTGAAGTGGGAAGGGAAGCGCACCTGGAGGAAGGGGTACAAGGACAGGGTGGGAAGCTGGTCTGGAACTTGGGAAGCCCATGATGCTTCTTTCTCCATCCAACGGTCCTACTGGGTGTGGGCCTCCAAAGCAGAGTGCCTGCCAGCATCTTGTAAAACAGCTCCTTGAGCCTACCCTACAGTTTCCAATTTAGGAAGTCTGATACTGTGGCCTGAGAATCTGCATTTCTTTAAAAACTTTAAAAATTCAAGAGTTAGTTATTTTAAGAAGTTTTTGTAGAGACAGGGTCTCACTACGTTGCCCAGGCTGGTCTTGAACTTCTAGGCTCAAGCGATCCTCCTGCTTTGGCCTCCCAAAGTGCTAGGATTATAGGCGTGAGCCACCACACCCAGCAAGAATCTGCATTTCTTTTTTTGAAAAAAAAAAAAAAAAAAAAAAAAAAATAGCCTCACTCTGTAGCCCAGGCTGGAGTGCAGTGGTGCGATCTGGGCTCACTGCAACCTCCGCCTCCTGGGTTCAAGGAATTCTCCTGTCTCAGCCTCCTGAGTAGCTGGGATTACAGGCTCACGCCAAGACACCTGGCTAATTTTTGTATTTTTAGTAGAGACGGGGTTTCACCATATTGGTCAGGCTGGTCTTGAACTCTTGACCTTAGGTGATCCACCTGCCTTGGCCTCCCAAAGTGTTGGGATTACAGGTGTGAGCCACCGTGCCTGGCCCAAGAATCTGCATTTCTAACAAATTCCCCAGCAATGGTGCTGCTGGAAAGGGGTCCCTTTTAAGAACCATTGCTCTAAGGCAAGTGCTATGATGATTTCCATTTCAGAGAAGGGGAAACTGAGGCTTGGGTTAAACAGCTCTTCCTAGGTCACATTGAGGTGTGTGATGGGGCAATTCCATCTCAGGTCTACTGGACTCTAGAACTTGCATTCTCAGCTGCTGCTGCTGCTGCTTAAGGCATCTCTGCTGGGGTCTGGAGACTTCTGAAATATTCTTGCTTATGACAAACTTTTTCTCTCCTCTCTTTCTGCATAGCTAAGGCTCTTCCGTTCTTTAAAGCCCAGCTCAACTCTTCTTGAAAGTTTTCCCCAAACCCTCTGAGCCCACGCCTTGTATGCAAGTCATCACTGGAGTTATAGTTGCAAGAAACGACTTCTTGTTCCTGCTGTGCCTCTTACACGCTGTGTGACCTTGGCCATGGCCCTTAACCTCTCTGGGCCTGCGCATGCCTCTCAGATGTGGGGCAGATATGCCAGGGCTGCACGAGGGAGATAATACCACTGACGGTGCGGGGGAACTAGAAAATGCTACAAAGAAGGGAGTCATGTGCATCTTCTCCTGTGGGATCTTCTGTGTTTTTTTCTTTCTTTTTTTTCCCACTCTGGGACATTTTTTTTTCTTTTTTTCTTTTTTTTTTTTGAGATGGAGTCTTGCTCTGTTGCCCAGGCTGGAGTGCAGTGGCACAATCTCAGCTCACTGCAACCTCTGCCTCCCGGTTTCAAGTGATTCTCCTGCCTCAGACTCCTGAGTAGCTGGGATTACAGGTGTGTGCCACCATATCCGGCTAATTTTTGTATTTTTAGTAGAGACGGGGTTTCACCATGTTGGTCAGGCTGGTCTTAAACTCCTGACCTCGTGATCCGCCCGCCTCGGCCTCCCAAAGTGCTGGGATTACAGGCGTGAGCCACCACACCCGGCCAACTCTGGGCCATTTTCTTGGCAGTTTCTTTTGGTCCGGTGGCAGATGCCTCATCTTTCCCTTTTTTTGAGACAGAGTCTTGCTCTGTCACCCAGGCTGAAGTGCAGTGGCGCAATCTCGGCTCACTACAACCTCTGTCTCCCGGGTTCAAGCAGTTCTCTGCCTCAGCCTCCCGAGTAGCTGGGATTACAGGCACCCGCCACCACGCCCAGCTAATTTTTGTATTTTTAGTAGAGACAGGGTTTCACCATGTTAGCCAGGCTGGTCTTGAACTCCTGACCTCGTGATCCACCTGCCTTGGCCTCCCAAAATGCTGGGATTATAGGTGTGAGCCACCGCGCCTGGCCTTCATCTTTCTCTTTTAGTGATGCTATGTGTCCAGCTGGGGCACCCCACTTGCCTGAATTTTTTTAAAAGACAGGGTCTGGCTCTGTGACCCAGGCTAGACTGCAGTGATGCAATCACAGCTCACAGCTCACTTCTGGGCTCAAGCGATCCTCCTGCCTCACCCTCCCGATGAGCTGGGAACACAGGGGTGCACCATCACGCCCAGCTAATTTTTAGTTTTTTTTTTTTTTTTTTTTTTTTGAGACAGAGTCCTGCCCTGTTGCCCAGGCTGGAGTACAATGGTGTGATCTTGGCTCACTGCAACCTCCGCCTCCTGGGTTCAAGTGATTCTCCTGCCTCAGCCTCCCAAGTAGCTGGGATTACAGGCGCCCACCACTATACCCAGCTAATTTTTTTTGTGTGTGTTTTTAGTAGAGACGGAGTTTCACCATGTTAGTCAGGCTGGTCTCGAACTCCCGACCTCAGGTGATCTGCCCGCCTTGGCTTCCCACAGTGCTGGGATTACAGGTGTAAGCCACCGCGCCCGGCCAGTTTGTTTTTTTTTTTTTTTTTTTAGAGATGGGGTCTGGCTATGTTGCCCAGGCTGGTCTGGAACTCCTGGCCTCAAGCCTCCACTTCCCAAGGTGCTGGCATTACAGGTGTGAGCCATTGTACCCAGCCCCAAAGTTTCAAAGCCAGTCGGTGGCAGAGCTGGGACTGGGGCCCAGGCTGAGCCTGAGGGTGCTCCCACCACAGTGTCATGACTCCGGGCCAACCAAAAGCTCCTGTGTAGGAGATGCTGGACCAAGTCGGGGGATGGTCGGGTCTTCCCAGCAAGGTGGTTGAGCTGAGGGCAGAGGTGGGGTCCCCAACCTCTCTCCGGCCATCAGTGCCTACAATGATTGCCTACGGTGATTACCTACTCACCAAAGTGTGATCTTGGCCAAGACACATCCCTTTTCCCAGCCTGTTTCCTCACCTCTCCTACAGAGGGTGCCACTATCTCAGGGTGTGACTGATGGGGATTCTGGGGCCTGGTGGATGGTGGGCACTTTGCACCTGTCATAGATGTGAGCTGAGATGGCTTCACCACCCCTCATCTGAACCCTCAGAGTTAGGCAAGTCTGGGTTTGGGAGAGGAAGCATGGGCTATAAATGCTAAGTGAGGGCAATCCTGGGTGAGGCTATGGACAGCACCTGGGAACAGGAACCAAATACATTCGTTTTTCTGCCTTGGAATTTGCGAAAACTCACACTAACTGGGATGAGGAGCGAAAAGGAGGGTCGTCTGGCAGGGCGGTTTGTGTTCTGTGGCCAAGATGTTCCCGTGAGGCTCGGGATTTTGGAAGCCCATGGGATTCTGGAACCGCGGGGTTGGGGCTGGACAGCAAGGGGGCTTGAGGTGTTGGCCTCAGTGTGGCCGGCGCGTCCAGCTTCACCACCTGGCCTGACTTAAGGAACTTCTAGATTATTCTGACAACAAGCAGGGCTCCCCAGGGAATAGGATGGGTGAGCAGGGAACGGTCTGTTTCTTCCAGGGCTGTGTCCCCACATCCGGACCTCACCTTCCCAGAGACGATCTTCTCATAGATCTGGATGGGCTGGTCTGCGAAGAAGGGCGGGTAGCCAGCGGCCATTTCATAGATAAGAACCCCCAGGGCCCACCAGTCCACGGCCTTGTTGTAGCCCTGGAGCAAGATGGGGGGGCACAGGGTGAGGAGGAGGCGAGAGCAGGAGAGCAGAGCCGGCCTCAGGGGAAGGGGAGGGCTGGGGAGGCTCCTACTTTGCTCAGGATAATCTCAGGGGCCAGGTACTCAGGGGTGCCGCACAAGGTCCAAGTGCGGCCCTTCACGCGCTTGGCGAAACCGAAGTCTGTCACCTGTGGGCACAAGAACAGGCAGTTGGCAGGGAGGAAGGGTCCAGGCCACGGCTTCCCCAGGGCTGCCCCTCGCCCGGCCTGGTGGGCACCTGAATGTAGCCCTGCTGGTCAATGAGCAGATTCTCCGGCTTCAGGTCCCTGTAGATGAGATCCAGCGAGTGCAGATACTCAAAGGTCAGGACGATCTGGGCCGCGTAGAAACGGGCATGGGGCTCACTGATGGGGACAAATGGGGAGGTGAACGTCAGTGGTCATGCCCCAAAATGGTCCAGCAGGTGGCCCTGCAGAGCCTACCCCAGAGGAAGACACCTCCAGTCCAGCCGTCAGAAACGCAAGGCACCTGATTCTTAGATAGCCCGACATGGGAAACAGCCTGTGGGTCCATCCACAGGAAAATGGAATCACAGACTGAGCTATAGTCATACAATGGAATTCCACTCACCACCACCACCGCCAACAGGACAGCCCATGCATCCACTCAACAATGTGGCTGCATTTCAAACTGATTATGTTAAGCAAAAGAAGACACAAAAGAACATGAATGATTCCATTTATATCATGTCCACGCCCAGACAAAACAAAGGCACGGTGTTTGAAGTCAGAAAGGACAACTGCCTTTGGTGGGGAGGTGACGTGTCAAGAGAGGGATTCGGCCCGGTGCGGTGGCTCACCCCTGTAATCCCAGCATTTTGGGGGGTCGAGGTGGGAAGATCGCTTGAGCCCAGGAGTTCGAGACCAGCCTGGGCAATATAGGCAAGACCTCACCTCTGTATGTATGTAGATATGTGTGTGTGTGTGTATATATATATATATATTTTTTTTTGATTAATTTATTTTTTTTAAGACAGTCTCGCTCTCTTGCCCAGGCTGGAGTGCAATGGCATAATCTCGGCTCACTGCAACCTTTGCCTCCTGGAAACAAGTGATTCTCTTGCCTCAGCCTCCTGAGTAGCTGGGATTACAGGTGTGCACCACCACGCCCGGCTAATTTTTATATTTTTAGTAGAGACGGGGTTTCACCATGTTGGTCAGGCTGGTCTCGAACTCCTGACCTTGTGATTCGCCCGCCTCGGCCTCCCAAAGTGCTGGGATTACAGGCGTGAGCCATGGCACCCGGCCTCCACCTCTGTATGTTATTGGAAAAAAAAAAAAAAAAAAAAGGGATTCAAGGGAATTTTCTTAGGTGATAGAAAAGTTCCATATACTGTTTTGGGTGGAGGTTAGGTAGCTATATACAACTGTCAAAACTTGTAGCATGGAACATTGAAGAACTGTGCATTTTGTTGTATGTAAAGTGAATCTATAGTTATCTATCTAAAATACAACTACAAGGCCAGCGCGGTGGCCCATGCCTGTAATCCCAGCATCTTGAGAGGCCAAGGCGGGGGGGGCGGATCACCTGAGGTCAGGAGTTCGAGACCAGCCTGGCCAACATGGTGAAACCCCATCTCTACTAAAAATACAAAAATTAGCCAGGCAAGGGGGCATGCACCTGTAGTCCCAGCTACTTGGGAGGCTGAGACAAGAGAATCACTTGAACCCGGGAGGCAGAGTTTGCATGGAGCCGAGATCGTGCCACTGCACTCCAGCCTGGGTGACAAGAGTGAAACTCTGTCTCAAAAAATAAAATCAAATAAAACTACGTATGTAAACTTATAAGTTAATAAGACAAATTTATAAGTTAAAAATTTTTTTTTTCTTTCAGCAGGGTCTGACTGGGTTACAACCCAGTCTGGACTGCAGCAGCGTGATCACGGCTTATGCAGTCTTTTTTTTTTTTTGCATATGTTGAACCAGCCTTGCATCCTAGGGATGAAGGTGGGCTCATGCAGTCTTGACCTCCCAGACTCAGGTGATCTTCCCACCTCAGCCTCCCCAGGAGCTGGGACTACAGGAATGTGCCACCACACCTGACTTTTTTTTTTTTTTTTTGTATTTTTTTGTAGAGATGGGGTCTTGCTATGTAAGGCTGGTCTCAAATTCCTGGGCTCTAGCAATCTGCCCACCTTGGCCTCCCCAAGTGGGATTATAGGGCATGAGCCACAGTACCCAGCCTGTATCTTAAACTTACAAATTTCTGTATATAGATTTATTTTATGTATAAAAATATATATTAAAATCTACACATATAAAACTGTCCACCTATATAAAATAAAATAATAGTATAATTTTTATTTTATTTTTTTGAGACGGAGTCTCGCTCTGTCACCCAGGCTGGAAGTGCAGTGGCGCGATCTCGGCTCACTGCAAACTCCGCCTCCCGGGTTCACGCCATTCTGCCTCAGCCTCCCGAGTAGCTGGGACTATAGGCGCCCGCCATCACACCCGGCTAATTTTTTTGTATTTTTTTAGTAGAGACGGGGTTTCACCATGTTAACCAGGATGGTCTTGATCTCCTGACCTCGTGATCCGCCCGCCTCGGCCTCCCAAAGTTCTAGGATTACAGGCACGAGCCACTGCGCCCAGCCAATTTTTTTTTTTTAAAAGAGACAAAACCTCACTATGCAGCCCAGGCTGGTCTCAAATTCTTGAGCTCAAATGATCTTCTCACCTCAGCCTCAGGACTAGTGGGACTACAGATGCATGCCACCTTTTGGGGCTCAAAAAATGCACAAAATCAACAACTTCAATTTTTTTTTTTGAGACGGCATGTCACTCTCTCACCCAGGCTGGAGTACAGTGGTGTGATCTTGGCTCACTGCAACCTCTGTCTCCTGGGTTCAAGTGATTCTCCTGCCTCAGCCTCCCAAGTAGCTGGGATTACAGGTGCCCACCACCATGCCCAGCTCAGTTTTGTATTTTTAGTGGAGACAGGGTTTTGCCATGTTGGCCAGGCTGGTCTCAAACTCCTGACCTCAGGTGATCTGCCCACCTTGGCCTCCCAAAGTGCTGGGATTACTGGTGAGAACCACCGTGCCTGGCAGCAACTTCAGTTTGGACACCTAAGTTGCCCTGTTTGCTCTGTTTTGTTTTGTGGTGGTTGAAATATCACATATTCCTCAGCAGAGGGGAAACAGAAACCCACAGGGTCTGGGAGACCACCTGCATGTTGAAGTATGCTGGACTCCTCTGCATTCCCAGGGGGCTTGGTCGTGCACTGCCACCTGTGGACACCCTGACAGCCTGATGTGATGGGGGGTGGCCCGCTTACCTGAACCTTCCGATCCGCCGTAGGTGTGAGAACATCTCCCCGCCGGGCACGTACTCCATGACCATGTATAAGTTTGAGTTGTCCTGTGGGAAGCAGTGGCTGGTCAAGGGCCCACCCCTGAGACTTGGACCCGATCTGAAGGCCTTGGGGGCCTCCCCGGCTGGTGTTCAAACATTAAATGACAACAGCGATCCTGGCTCCCTGTAGGAATCATGTTCTACAGGGGCGACCCTTATCCTGCTGTTAATGGGTGAAAGTGAGGGCTGGCTCAGAGGTATGTCAGGACCTGGTTAGCCTGCCTTGGCTGGAGAGAGAACTCTGTAGTACCTTGCTCTGGGAGCTTGAGTAAGGCTCTGAGGCCACAGTTTTGTCATCTGTAAAATGGGATCATGATAGGCTGCAGAATTAGTGGGGCCCAGAATAAAAAAGATGGCCCCTGGTTAAAAAATTATTACAGAGGGTCGGGTGTGGTGGCTCATGCCTGTATAATCCCAGTACTTTGGGAGGCCAAGGTGGGTGGATCACTTGAGCCTAGGAGTTTGAGACCAGCCTGGGCAACATAGTGAGACCCCGTCTCTGCAAAAATACAAAAATTAGCTGGGCATCATGGCGTGCACCTGTAGTCTCATACTCAGGAGACTGAGGTGGGAGGATTGCTTGAGCCTGGGAGGCAAAGGTTGTGAGCTGTAATTGCGCCACTGCACTCCAGCCTGGGCAACAGGGTAAGACCTTATCTTAAACAAAACAAAACAAAATGGCCGGGCACGGCTCACACCTGCAATCCCAGCACTTTGGGAGGTCGAGGCAGGCAGATCACCTGAGGTCAGGAGTTCAAGACCAGCCTGACCAACATGGGGAAACCCTGTCTCTACTAAAAAATACAAAATTAGCCAGATGTGATGGCACATGCCTGTAATCCCAGCTACTCGGGAGGCTGAGGCAGAAGAATTGCTTGAACCCAGGAGTCAGAGGTTGTGGTGAGCTGAGATCGCATCATTGCACTCCAGCCTGGGCAACAACAGCCAAACTCTGTCTCAATAAAAAAAATAAAAATTAGGCTTGGCACAGTGGCTCATGCCTGTAATCCCAGCACTTTGGGAGGCCAAGGCAGGCAGATCACTTGAGGTCAGGAGTTCAAGACCAGCCTGAGCAACATGGCAAAATCCTGTCTCTACTAAAAATACAAACATAAGCTGGGCATGGTGGTGGGCACCTGTAATCCCCGCTACTCAGGAGGCTGAGGCAGGAGAATTGCTTGAACCCAGGAGGCAGAGGTTGTAGTGAGCCAAGATTGCGCCACTGCTCTCCAGCCTGAGCAACAGAGTGAGACTCTGTCTCAACAAAAAAAAATTATTACGGATCTCAAGACAGCAGCAGCAGCAAAGCGTTAAACCAGGTGTGGGGTCCCTCGGAGAACAGGCCCTTGTGCTTCTCTGGGTCAAACGTCCATGAAGCTGGCCCTGAGTGGCCTTTCCTGTTTCTCATGACCACAGCTTTGGATGGCACCCAAAACGGCTCCCAAAGGGCGCTCAAGACGTGCCTGGAACTGTCATGACAACCCCACCAGGCTGGAACTGGTATGATCCCCATTTTACCATGAGAAAGCTGAGGCTTGGGGAGATAAGTCTCTTGCCCGGGGCCACACATCAAGAAGTACTGAACTGGGAAATGAACCCCGGCTGCCTGGGGCAGAGTTTGTGCTCCTGGGTCAGGCTCTTACCATAAACCAGGTGCTGCTTTTGAGGGATGTTACTGAGGTTGGGTGACTCACCAAGGGTATCGAACTACAAACTGGCTGGACCAGGAACTGAACTTGGGTCTACCAGAGTCCCAGCCTGACTCCTGTCCCCTGATCTCCCTCCTCCAGGGATCTTGTTCTTCCACAAAAGAGAGCAGCCACTGATTGTCCTCAGCTCCGACCCCAGCCCTGGGGGCCAGAAGGCTGGGACCCAATGCAGTGACCCCCCGCCCTTGGCCACTGGGACCCCACCTTGAAGGAGAACTCGAGTTTGACGAGGAACGGAAAGTTGACAGCTTGCAGGATGCGCTTTTCATTCAGGGTGTGTTCGATCTGTTTCAGTTTCACCACCTGGGAAGGGAAGGAGGGGAGGGCAGAAAGGAGGGGGAGGTGAGAGGGGCCTCATTTCCCCTAATGCCTGGAACTAGGGATGCCGGAGCCAGGCCGGTTCCTTCAGCCAGAATCATTTGTGTGCCTGTGGCCTGTCGGGCCCTTAGCTGATGCTGAGGACACAGCATCAGGGAGGCTAGGGGCTGCTTGTCCTTGCACGGCACTAAGTCCAGGGCAAAGAATACATGGGTTACCCCCACAGAGGTCAGAGCCGTGGTGGAGGGTATCTTGGGGTTGTGGAGAAGCAGCCCCCAAGAAGCCCATGTAAAGTACCTGGCGTGGTCTGGGGAAGGGGGAATCAGACAGCGCTTTCTGGAGGAAGGGGCAGCTGAACTGAAATTGAAAAGACAGGCAGGAGAAGCCCAAGAGGTGGGGGGTTTAGGACCTGCCTTACCCTTGTCTAGAACACTCCACACAGCAACCTGAACCTCAGGCTAACAGCTCCTCAGCCATCAGCTGTCCCCTAATAGCAGATGCCATGAGCAGGCACCTGGCACCCAGTCTCTCACTGAATCAGGATAGAAGCCCTAGAGGCCCATGCTGGGAGTACGCCAGTTTGGAAGACCAGACACAGAGGGGAGGTGACTTGTCCAAGGTCACACAGCTGGCTGATGTCAGGCTGGTGTGTAACATGTGGCCAGCCTGGTCCCTCAGTCAGCTGTCAACTGCTTTGCTCACATAGCTGTGTCCTCAGAGTCTATACCTGCCCTACCCAGTTCAGTCCCCATTAGCCACAGGGGGATGCTGGGCCCTTGAAATATGGCTGGTCGGATGGGGAGCCAAATTCAAAAATTTTAAGTATCTAAAATATAAATTAAAAAACTGACACCAGCTGGGCATGGTGGCTCACGCCCGTAATCCCAGCACTTTGGGAGGCCCAGGCAGGTAAATCGCTTGAGCCCAGGAGTTTGAGACTAGCCTGGGCAATGTAGCGAGACCCCATCTCTACAAACAACAACAAGGACAACAAAAGCAATTAGCTGGGCATGGCACGACTATGGTCCCAGCAGCTCCAGAGGCTGAGGTGGGAGGATCATTTGAGCCCAACTGCACTTCAGCCTGGGCAACAGAGCAAGACCCTGTCTCAAAAACAAAACAACCAGGCCGGGTACGGTGGCTCACGCCTGTAATCCCAGCACTTTGAGAGGCCGAGGCAGGTGGATCACGAGGTCAGGAGATCGAGACCATCCTGGCTAACATGGTGAAACCCCGTCTCTACTAAAAACACAAAAAATTAGCCGGGTGTGGTGGCGGGCGCCTGTAGTCCCTGCTACTCGGGAGGCTGAGGCAGGAGAATGGCATGAACCCGGGAGGTGGAGCTGGCAGTGAGCTGAGATCACACCACTGCAGTCCAGCCTGGGTGGCAGAGCGAGACTCCGTCTCAAAAAAAAAAAAAAAAAAACAACAACCAGCCAGGCCAAAATGGTGAAACCCTGTCTCTACTAAAAATATTTAAAAACTGGCCAGGTGTGGTGGCTCACGCCTGTAATCCCAGCACTTTGGGAGGCCGAGGCCGGTGGATTACAAGGTCAGGAGATGGAGACCATCCTGGCTAACACGGTGAAACCCCATCTCTACTAAAAATACAAAAAATTAGCCAGGCGTGGTGGTGGGCGCCTGTAGTCCCAGCTACTCAGGAGGCTGAGGCAGAAGAATGGCGTGAACCCGGGAGGCAGAGGTTGCAGTGAGCCAAGATCGTGCCACTGCACTCCAGCCTGAGCGACAGAGCGAGACTCCATCTCAAAAAAAAAAAAAAAAAAAATTAAAAAATTAGCTGGGCGTGGTAGCCGGCGCCTGTAATTCCAGCTACTCAGGAGGCTGGAGCACAAGAATCGCTTGAAACCCGGAGGCAGAGGTTGTAGTGAGCTGAGATCATGCCATTGCACTCCAGCCTGGGCAACAAGAGCGAAACTCCATCTCAAAAACAAAACAAAACAAAACAAAACAAAAATTAAACTCTTGATGCAGGTACTGGTGACTTTCAGGCATGGTTGGAACAACTTGGGCATGTGAATCTGCTTTTTCAACTTCCCTGCTTTTTCTTATCTTTCCAGGAAAAATTTACCATCAGAGTTGAGAACTGTTGTAAGCATACAATAGACACTGGATTTTAAAGATACTTCAGTACAGAAAAAAAGGAAATATTTCCGAAGTCATGGAGGACTGGGAAAAAAACAAAAGGAATGTAAAATGTTTCATTAATGATATTTTCACATTGATAATATATGGAAAGGGTAATACTGTAGATATACTGGCTTAATTAAAACATATCATTAGGCCAGGTGTGGTGGCTCACATCTGTAATCCCAGCACTTTGGAAGGCTGAGGCGGGCGGATTACCTGAGGTCAGGAGTTCGAGACCAACCTGACCAACATGGTGAAACCCCAAGTCTACTAAAAATACAAAAGTTAGCTGGGCGTGGTGGTGGCACCCATAATCCCAGCTACTTGGGAAGCTGAGGCAGGAGAATCACTTGAACCTGGGAGGTGGAGGTTGCAGTGAGCTGAGATCACGCCACTGCAGTCCAGCCTGGGCGACAAGAGTGAGACTCTGTCTCAAAAAAAAAAAAACATAAAAAAAAGCCCCAAACATGTCATTAAAATGAATTTCATGAATGACACCTGTTTCTTTCATTTTCTCTTTTAATTACAAACTTTGGGTGTTTTTTTAGAGATGGGGTCTGGCTGTGTTGTCGAGGCTGGAGTTGAACTCCTGGGTTCAAGTGATCCTCCCACCTCAGCCTGTCTAGTAGCTGGGACTACAGGCGTGCGCCACCGTGCTTGGCTGTTTTTACTGTTTATGATGGAGCAAACAGAAAATTTAAAATTGCTTCTGTGGCTCAGGTTACATTTCTGCTAGTTACATTGCTGCTTTATAGCAGTGCCTGGTATAAAGTCCGATCACAAAAATATTTACGGGAAGAAAGTGCACATAAACACCACTTCCCCCAAGAGTGCTCTTGTTCTCCTCCTGTTGGGCTGGTGTCTGACCCTGTGTCACAGTGCCTGGCTTTGAATCCATGGCCGGCCTGGAGAGGGAGCTTTGGGAAGGCGGCACAGGGCCCTTCTGACCCCTGGGGCTGGCACATTATGGGGGCTCGGGGAATAGTGGGTGAGCCTGGCATGGTGGCTCATGCCTGTAATCCCTGTGCTTTGGGAGGCTGAAGTAGGAGATCACTTGAGGCCAGGAGTTCAAGACCAGCCTGGGCAACACAGCAAGACCCCCTGTCTAAAACAAAAAACAAACAAACAACAAAAAAAAATTAGCCAGGCATGGTAGTGTGCGCTTGTAGTCCCAGCTACTCAGGAGGATCTCTTGAGCTCAGGAGTTTGAGGCTACAGTGAGCTATGATCACGTCACTGCACTTTCCTGCTTGGGCAACAGAGCAGGATCCTGTCCCCCACAAAAAAACCAAGCGGCCAGGCGCGGTGGCTCACGCCTGTAATCCCAGCACTTTGGGAGGCTGAGGCAGGTGTATCACCTGAGGTCAGGAATTCGAAACCATCCTGGCCAACATGGCGAAAACCCATCTCTACTAAAAATACAAAAATTAGCTGGGTGTGGTGGCAGGCGCCTGTAATCCCAGCTACTCGGGAGGCTGAGGCAGGAGAATCGCTTGAACTAGGGAGGTGGAGGTTGCAGTGAGCCGAGATCACGCCACTGTACTCCAGCCTGAGCGACAGAGCGAGACTCTGAATCAAAAAAAAGCAAGTGAGTGAACGGGTGGATAGGGCACTCTAAGGAGTGGGCACAGTCCAGGCAAAGGCCTGACAGGCAGGCCCTGAGCGAGGACAGGCCACCTCACCTTCTGTTTGTCGAGGATCTTCATGGCATAGTGGTTCCCGGTCTCCTTGTGTTTCACCAGCATCACCCGCCCGAAGGAGCCCGTGCCGAGGGTCTTGATTCGTTCAAACTGATCCAAGTGGGCTGTGTTCTGTGGGCAGAGGGGTCGGTAGGCTCAGGGCACGCCCTCCCCGCGGCCTGCTTGGCTAAGGTCTGGGGCATCCCCTCTGCCACCGGCAGAGGGGGCCCCGGGGAGCACGTGGGGTCAGCGGGGTGAGGACAGGGGGCGGAAAATCAAGATGGCAGAGGGCACATTCCTTAAGGCGGGTGGCAGGGGCCAGATCCGGCCCTGGCCTGGGGCCTGGAAGCTGCTGGCAGCTGTGCTGGGGGCAGGGGCGGGCCGTTGGGAGGGGTGGTGGGATGGGGGTGCCTGGCATTGGGCAGTCAGGTGTCTCCACACAGGAGCCCCCATGGGCACCTAGGGAGCAAATGGGGAGGGTCTGAAGCCTTCTATGGGGTTTCTGAAATTCTAGCTGTGTTGCTGGGACACAGCCAGGGGCTGGGGGTTAGCAGCTCACCCCTCCCTGGGCTCTGCACCCGGCAGCCTTACCTGAGCGGGACTTTCCCATTTTTTAAGAAAATCTTCTTTGGCTTTGGCTAAGAATTCTTTCACTGAAAGGGAGAGAGGGGAGAGTTATACAGAGACGCCCGTCTCACCGGGGTGGGTTCAGGTGATTTCTGGGGAGATACTTGGTGGAAAGTGGGGTGCAGTTCCAACCCAGAGCCTGACCTTTTTCTGGTGCCTCTGGGGCCTTGGCTGGGCCGTGGCCTGGGCCTCCCTTGCTACAGAGAGGTGGGATCCAGCTGCCACTCCATCCAAAGTGGGGTACAGAGAGTCTCAGGGGTCACTCGCAGGGGAACGGAGGGAGGTGCCCAGGCAGACCAGCCCACCCCCACTCGCCCCAGTTCTGACCGACATTCCATGGCCAGGGCCGACGCCAGCCGAGGTATTTATAGCCTTGGGATTTGGCTGTTCCTCTGGCCCCTTCTCTGGGGAGGCCGGGCCTGGGATGGAGGCCTCGGGGGCTCGGGTAGCAGGTGCCCTTGGGGGGCTCAGCTGTCACCTTGGCCCCCAGCTGGCCCTGTTCCTCTCCGTGGCAATCGCAAGGGCATTGCTCCAGAGCTGGTTCAAGGGAAGTCTCGCCCGATGCCCACTCCTCGGCCCCATGGTATCCCAAGGTGAACATCACCGCCTGGCTAATGTTGAAACTTCCCCGGCAGACCCTGTGCCGGCTGCTGTCTACACTGTCTCATCTGACTCACTCGGCAACCTGCCTTGTATCCATTGTCTCCACTTAACAACCCAGGAAACAGGCTTGAAAACAGTCATTCTCGTCTCTGCTGAGACACAGCCCAGCAAAGTGGCTAAGGGCCAGGACTTGGGGTCAAGATCCAGTTCAGAGCCCAGCCTGGTCTCTGATGAACTCTGTGACTTTGGGTAACTGATCTCACCTCTCTAGGCCTCAGTTTTCCTCATCTGTAAAGTGGGGTGGTTTTGAGGAATGAATGAGTTCATCTTGACAAAGGGAGTTGAACAGTGGCCCCGTGTGATGATAGTGCCAGATAAATGTCAGCTATTATTATTTTTTATTTATCTATCTATTGACTGATTGATTGATTGATTGATTGAGACGGAGTCTCCCTCTGTCGCCCAGGCTGGAATGCAGTGGCGCAATCTCCGCTCACTGCAAGCTCCGCCTCCCGTGCTCACGCCATTCTCCTGCCTCAGCCTCCTGAGTAGCTGGGACTACAGACGCCTGCCACCACGCCCAGAGAATTTTTTGTATTTTTTTTAGTGGAGACGGGGTTTCACCGTGTTAGCCAGGATGGTCTCGATCTCCTGACCTCGTGATCCACCCGCCTCGGCCTCCCAAAGTGCTGGGATTACAGGCGTGAGCCACCATGCCCGGCCAATTTATTTTTTTTAATTATTATTATTTTTTTTTTTGAGATGGAGTCCCACTTTGTTGCCCAGGCTGGAGTGCAGTGGCACAATCTCAGCTCACTGCAACCTCCGCCTCCCAGGTTCAGATGATTCTCCTGCCTCAGCCTCCTGAGTAGCTGGGATTACAGACACCTGCCACCACGCCCAGCTAATTTTGGTATGTTTAGTAGAGACAGGGTTTTGCCATGTTGGCTAGGCTGGTCTCGAACTCCTGACCTCAGGTGATCTGCCCACCTTGGCCTCCCAAAGTGCTGGGATTACAGGCATGAGCCACCGTGCCCAGCCTATTATTTTCTAAATTGAGGTATAAAATATGGGGAGAGAGGCTGGGTGAGGTGGCTGACGTCTGTAATCCCAGCACTCTGGGAGGCCAAGGTGGGTGGATCACAAGGTCAGGAGTTCGAGACCAGCCTGGCCAACATGGCGAAACCCCATCTCTACTAAAAATAAAAAAATGAGGCCAGGCACGGTGGGTCACACCTATAATCCCAGCACTTTGGGAGGCCAAGGCGGGTAGATCACTTGAGGTCAGGAGTTCAAGACCAGCGTGGTCAACATGGTAAAACCCCGTTTCTACTAAAAGTACAAAAAAATCAGCCGGGCATGGTGGCAGGAGAATCGCTTCGACCCGGGAGGCAGAAGTTGCAGTGAGCTGAGATCATGCCATTGCACTCCAGCCTAGGCGACGGGGCGAGACTCTGTCTCCAAAACAAAACAAAAAAATTAGCCAGGCGTGGTGGTGATGTGTGCCTGTAATCCTAGCTACCTGGGAGGCTGAGGCAGGAGAATTGCTTGAATCCGGGAGACTGAGGTTGCAGTGAGCCGAGATTGCACCACTGCACTCCAGCCTGGGTGACAGAGCAAGACTCGTCTAAGAAAAAAAAAAGAAAAAAGAAAAGAAAATATGGGGAGCGATCGGGCATGGTGGCTCACGTCTATAATCCCAGCACTTTGGGAGGCCGAGGCAGGCAGATCACTTGAGGTCAGGAGTTTGAAACCAGCCTGGCCAACATGGTGAAACCCCGTCTCTACTAAAAATACAAAAATTAGCTGGGCACGGTGGCGCATGCCTGTAATCCCAGCTATTTGGGAGGCTGGGGCAGGAAAATCTCTTGAACTTGGGAGGCAGAGGTTACAGTGAGCTGAGATCATGCCACTGCACTCCAGCCTAGGCGACAGAGTGAGACTCTGTCTCAAAAAAAAAAAAAAAAAAAAAAAAAAAAATATATATATATATATATATATATATATATATATACACACACACACACACACACATAGGGAGAGCCGGGAACGGTGGCTCATGCCTGTAATCCCAGTGCTTTAGAAGGCCGAGGTTGGAGGATCGCTTGAGGCCTGGAATTAGAGACCAGCCTTGGCAACATAGCAAGACCCAATCTCTACAAAAAATAAAACAATTAAAAAATTAGCTGAGCATAGTGGCCCATGCCCGCAGTTTCAGCTAAGCAGGAGGCTGAGGCAGGAAGATTGCTTAAAGCCCAGGAGATTGAGGTTGCAGTGAGCTATGATCACACCACTACACTCCAGCCTGAGCAAGAGTGAGACTCTTTCTCAAAAAAATAATAATACTCTGGGAGGCCGAGTTGGGGGGATTGCTTGAATACAGGAATTCGAGACCAGCCTGGACAACATCAAAACCCTCTACAAAAAATAAAAACATTAGCCAGGTGTGGTGGTATGCACCTGTAGTCCCAGCTACTCAGGAGGCAGAGGTGGGAGGATTGTTCAAGCCCGGGACATAGAGCCTGCAGTGAGCCGTGACTGAGCCATTACACTGCAGGCTGGGTGACAGAGTGAGGCCCTGTCTCAAAAAAAAAAGTAATAATAAAAAAACCCCAAAAACAAATATAGGAGATACACTGAGTGCTCAAATCTTAAATGCGCAGCCTGACAGATTCTTGCATTATGGACTTGTCCTTTTAACCACCACCTAGGGCTACAAGGGACCAGCCCCTTGCTGAGTATTTTCTATGCTTCGTTCTCACCCTGTGGGGTGGGAGCTGCTGTTATTCCCACTGTACAGAGGAGAAGACTGATCAGGTCTGAGGTCACTTGCCTGCCCCCACATCCCATGAGATTAACTACTTCACTGCCAACTCAGCCATTGGTTTCAGTGCTGAGTCCAGTGCACCAGGGTGGCCAATGTGGACAGAGCTGCCTTCAACCCCCTGATGTTCCTGGGTTTGCTGCCACCGAGGGGCCCTGTACACTTGCCCTTTGGCATTGCTGGTTATCTGCCTGCCAGTAATCCCACATGGCCTTGTGGGGAGCCACCCCCACTACCTGTCTCCAGAGCTTTCCCTCAGCATTCAGAGAGAAGAGCCCTCATGGAGCTAGAAAGTGGTAGATGGTGGCTGGGTGCAGTGGCTCACGCCTGTAATCCCAGCACTTTGGGAGGCTGAGACAGGCAGATCACCTGAGGTTGGGAGTTTGAGACCAGCCTGACCAACATGGAGAAACCCTGTCTCTACTAAAAATACAAAATTAGCTGGGCGTGGTGGCACATGCCTGTAATCCCAGCTACTCAGGAGGCTGAGGCAGGAGAATTGCTTGAACCCGGGAGGCAGAGGTTGCAGTGGGCTCAGATCGCGCCATTGCACTCCAGCCTGGACAACAAGAGTGAAACTCTGTCTCAAAAAAAAAAAAAAGAAAGTGGTAGATGGCAGATGGAGAGAGACCGTGGCCAAGAAGGCCCCACAATAAATGACCAGGCGGAGAGGGGATAGGCAATGAATGGCCAGGAGTCCTAGATGGGTGCCTGGCTGGGCCACCAACTAGCCCAGGGGCCTGAGCCTGGGGGTCACACCAAATCCAACACTTTCACTAGCAGAACCTTTGTTTGAGTGTTTTATTTTGTTTTGAGATGGGGTCTTGCTATGTTGCCCAGGCTGGTCTCCAACTTCTGGCCTCAATGGATTCCCCCACCTTAGTCTCCCAAAGTGCTGGGATTACGGGCATGAGCCACTGTGCCTGGCTTCAGTCATAGAACCTTTGTGACAGAAAACATCTTCCTTGGAAACCTCCAAATAATCCACACAGAATTCAGCAGTGGGTGGGGAGGGTGGAGGGTGCCCTCTTGGGATTCTACCTTCACCCACACAAGAAGGCAGAGAGGTGCCAGGCTTGAAGGGAATCCAAAAGGTCTGGTCCGTTTTCCCTTTGCTCTTAGCAAAAAGGAAAGAATTGCTGAATCCTGCACCTCCCCGACTCGCTGAGCTCCCAGCCCCTGGCTGTCCGCTGGTGCCCCACAGAGTCGCTCCACAGGGTGCCTTGCTGTTAGCATGGCCCTTCTCTGGCCTCTCAAAGGACCAGAGCGCCCAGGCTCTGTCCCCTCTGGTGCCACTAGCCCTGTTAGCTTGTCAGATTTGGGGATGGGGCATGGGGGAGGCCAGTGCCAGGAGGAGCAGGCAGAGAGAGGGATGATGGGGGGGAGGGGCAGGTAACCTCAATCAAGAGGCCCCACACTCACCTCTGCTTCCTGTCTCTTCCAGGAAAGGGTAGAATAAAGGGTGGGTGGGATGGGGTGATCTGGCGGCCTTCTGCCCCCTGGCCAGGGAGGCTCAGGGTGCTGGCTGTGGCTTAGGCCCCCGGAAGGTGCGGTGCAGGTAGCCCAGGAAACGTACAGCCAGGTGGGCCCAGAGGAGCAGCTGCAGCCACAGCTGGAAGGTGGTCTCCAAGTCCCCACCCTGGCTGCTGCCTGATCCCAGATCCATCCCCAGCCCCCTTGGGCTCTCCCTGGAATCTTCCTTTTGCTGAGAAACCAGGAAAACGCAGAGCCTCTAAGTCAGCTTCCTTGGGATGGCCTCAGGGGACCAGGGAGGAGGAGCTGGTTGCCACAGAAGCTTTTAAAGGTACCTGCTCCAAGCTAGCCAAGGTTTGCAGAGGGCTCCCTTGGCAGGAGGCAATGGGAAGATTCTCCCGAGGGTGTCCCTCTGGCTGGCCTGCGTGCCCCAGGGCGGGGCGATAAAACTAACTTCCCTTTCCACGGACTTCACTGCTCCCAGGACGCCAGGCCCTGCCTTCCTCAGTGGGCACTGGACTGTGCAGAGGACAGCGCCTGATGTGCCCAGAGCAGTGCCCACTGGGCAGAGGGGAAAGAGTTAAGGTTCAGGATCAGGCAACAGCCAGAGACTCCTTAGGGGCTAAAGAGGCCCCAGAGCTCCCTTAATTCGCTGAAAGAACAGCTGGAGAGAAAGGCTTGGGGCGGGGGGCGACAAGAGCCACCCTGCCTCCTCCCCTGAACTCCCTTTCAATGTGGAACCCCCAAATCCTGCTATCCTGAGAGAGAAAATGGGTATATCTGACTCTTTTGTTTTGCTCCTATGCGGGGGTGGAGAGGGGAAAGGCATCCCGGGATGTCCTTGGCCTCTCTCAAACCTTGCCCTGTGCTTGGCTCTACTCTCGGCCATGAAAGTCCAAACCGGAAACGAGCGGCTAAACCCAGGGGTGGGGGAGGGGGAGGCAGCCTTGACCATCTTCCTCCTTCTTTCCAGATCCCAAAAGAAGCAGAGGGTCAGTGGCAGCCTCTTTGAGTGTGCCCGGCATCCAGGACCCCTGCTAGCAACAGGAAGTGGCAGAGGATGGTAACCCAGCCAGCTGCTGGCCTGTACAGCCTGCCGCCCTGCCCACATCTCCCACACGGGGGGTGCCAGCTCTCACTCTGGTCCAGATTCCATTTGGGTTCATAGGGAAAACTCCTTGACACCCCTTGAAAAGCCAGGACCACAGCAGAAAGCAGAAATCTAGAAACTCGCCCTGGGAATGGGGAATTGCAACAGCAGAATATCAATTTGGGCAAGGGGCTTGGGGTCTCTCTCGGAAGGAGCCCAGCCACAGAACCCCCTTCCTCCGGACAACAATCTCAGACCTTCTGCCCTTTTGAAATCTGGCTGTCCTGGGAATTCTGGGGCAGGAATGCCCAGCCTGGGCTGGGCCCCCTACTCGAGGCTGGCTGATTCCTCCAGTGGAGCCTGGATTCCCTGCTCTGGGCTTACCTAAATGACACAACTCTGAGCTGGACCCCAACACTGGCTGGAACGACCCCCATTCTGAGCTGGACCCCAACACTGGGATGGCTCATCCTACAGTCTGAGCTGAACCCCAACACTGGGATGGACCACTCCACCACCCCTCTCTGAGCTGGCCCCCTGCCGGGTGGACCATCCTCCCTTGTCTGAACTGGGCCACCGATCCCCTCTCTCTTCCCCAGGCCGCACAGCCCGGGGCTGTACAGGAGGCGTTTCCAGGGCCAGCCAGGGGTTCACATCCTTCTTCTCTTCGCCTGTGCCCCAGACCCCGCTGCAGCCCCTCCCTGACTTAAGGGGCAGAGTGTGCCTAGGAAGTTGCTATAGTAACAGGACTCAGCCTCACCATCGCTGGAGTTGGAAGCCATCACTCAGTCCTGTTCTCAGGGCACCGGCACTACGGTGGCTGGGAAGGCTCATGAGACCTGCCGTGTCTGTTCGGCTGTCTGTCCCCAGAACCCTGCCTGCAGGGGGAGCTAGGGAGCCGTGGGGTGGGAGCAGGAAGAGAAACCCAACCCAGAGGCCACTGGGTGTGGAGGAGGGACAGATAGGGCCCTCCGAGTTTCTGTAGACGCGGTTGCGCTAAGGGGAGAGCTGCCTTGATAAGACCTCTTGGGCACCCATACAACTGCCAAGGCACAGAAGGTGTTTGGCCGTCTTAGGCATCCATAGGATGTTACACGGCACTAGTTCTTCCCATCTAGGGTCTTCTTGGGGGGTGCTTTTCTCTCTTTGCCAGGATCTGCTTGTGTCCTGGGGATCGGGGGCTCCCTTTTACTAGCTCTGCCCCTTCCCCTGTGGGCCAGCTCCCAGGGGTATCTTCAGCCAGTGCCAGCCACGACCTGAGCCCCACTTGGCTGTCTGACCTGGGCGCCTGCCCCCTGGGGCCGCTGCTCCCTCTCCATTCTTCCAACTTGGCCAGAGCCTGGGCCTTAGTCTTTTTTCTTGGCCCTCTCAGCTCTCCCAATGGCTTTGCCATCTTTGGGTGTAGATTCCCCCAACTCCACTCCAGGGTTCATTCTGGATCCCTGGCCTCTTGGGAGGAGGCGGACTCTGTCCTGCCCTGGCACAGAGATGGTACCACAGGGGACTGCAGGATGCTTAACTGGTGCCTCCCAAGGCCTGGGCATTTTCCTGACCCCAGTCGGGCCGGCGTCTGGCAGATGAAATCCAGGTGCCCCCTGCAGGCTGGCCTGGCTACTGCCCCTGCCCCTGCCCCACCCTTCTAAGAGGGCAAATTTTGTCTAACTCCATCCTCTCAGAATCAGAGCGCCTCAAAGCAAAGAGGGACTTCCTTCCTCATCTTATTTCCTTCTCTGGGAGCCTCTGGGAGGAAGTACAGCTTCGGGCGTTTCTCAACGTGTGACATAGTCCCATTGGCAGAACATGACATGATTTTCGGGATGTTTCATTTATCTAGTTACACTGTATTTAATGCGTATCAGAGAAAATATAACTGGCATGGCAATCCCATGATTTCATTTATATTATTGTTTAGAATGAGCTCCAAGTTTACATCTGAACACAAGTGAGTAAAACTTTTATTATTTTAAATTAAGAAAATATGATAGAGTAAAAATCTGGGAGGCTGCTGAAAAATGTCAAAGTCGGGGAATTCTGGGGTCCAAGAAGTTTGCTGGTAGATGGATCTGGATGTGAATCCTGCCTCTGTGACATCATCTATGTCATGGATGTCATTTCTACCAGAGGGCTCCTTTGGAAAATTTGGATAACAGCCCGTTATGAAAGTCACCAGAGTAGGTATCTCTATCCGCCTGGCCATTTAGCCTGTGGCACAGCCTAGATGCCCAATAAATAGTAGCTCTATTTTACCATGATCATTCATTCCTGGGTGTCTGACCTGTGCTCTGAGAGAATCAGTGGTTCCTTCCAGAGCCTCTGATCTTTTTCTTGGGATCCTTTTTCTTGTGTGGCTTTCCACCCCCCACCACATGTGTCTGATAGCCTTGAAGGTTTTCCAGGACTGTCATCTCCCCAACTTTCAACTGAGCTACCGCAATATATAGCTGCCTGCCTCTACCTTCCACCTCCCAGCTGGCCTCACCTGCTGGGGGCCTGACTCCTCCCCCCCCGGCCAAGTCCCCTCCAAGCTCATGCCCAGACCTTTTTTGGACACTACCCACCTGCTCCTCTGTCATCAGGCACTCAGCTACAGGCATTTCCCTCCCCAGCCCCCACCCATTGGTGACATGTCAGGCCTCTTCATGATCGCTCTGTGACTCTGAGTTCTGCTATTTGAATCCGTATGGGAATAAAGTTCCCTGGCTTTCATACCTTTCTGGGAGGGGGCATTCAGGAAACTCAGATGCTGGGGTTTGAGACCAAAAACTGGCCTTCCTTTTCGACCAATAGTTCCGACTATTTCTGGGTAAGTGGACAGGGGATCCCAGCTGCCTTCCAGCTTTCAGACTGGAGTGACAACAATTTAAGAGCTGTAAAAATTGGGAATGGGGTTCAAGACCATTTCTGATGGTATTTCCAGATAGAGAATCTCTTTCTCTGGCTGGCTGGAAAAGACCAACCTAATGTGTGGGCAAGTGGGTGAAACAGGTCTCTCTCTGGCTGAGCCCTGGGAATGATCAGAATCACTAGACGTCAAAGCAAATCACTAGACGTCACCCATTACTCTCTTTGACTGCCTCCTCCTCCCCAGTGCTCTTTCTGACCATCTCAGTTAGAACCGAATGAACCTCGCTAAACCCAGACACTTTTCATCCCAAGCCAGGAGTGGTGGAAGAAGCCCCAGGGACTGGGTGAATGACGGAGCCTCAGTTGTGAAACGACCATTTATTGAGGGGCCCTCCATGGAGCCTAGAGCTCACTGCAAGACAGGAAATGAGAGGGGGCTCTGCCACCACCCCCTTACCCCAACGCAGGAAAGAGGATGCAATGAATCCCAACAAGACCAGCTCAAACTTGGCTTTGGAAGCACTGAAGCAATTCTCTACGTTCATAAACAGTCTGCTACCCCAGCCAGGGACAGACGCTTGCTTGGAGGACGGAGCACAAGCAGAGCAGCAGAATGACAGAGTGACAGGATGAGAGAGGCAGAGGGACCCAGAAAGATCCTGTCCCCCATGCCAAGTGACACAGAAGAAAAAAATAATGCTGGAGGTGGCTCTGGGAAATGTTCAGGGGGCAGGATGGGTTTGGAAGGGGGGGCTGTGCTAAGGTGAAGAGGGAAAGGGCAGGAGAAAGATGGCGGGGGCTGGAGGGGGGAGGGGTGTGGTCAGCAAGTGGCCAAGGTCCCTGCGCGGTGGAGGCAGACAGACCTCATCGCATTCCCAAACTGGTAGAAACCTGGGTCGGGGTCAGGCAGAGGATCCCATAGGTGAGAGAGGTGAGTGAGGAAGTGGGGGGATTAGAATCTGGGAAGAGGGGCCAGGAAAGGAGGGGGTAGGCTGGTGACAGGGGCCCATGTGGGGCCCCAGCGGTCATACGTGCCATGGTTGGCAGTGACAGCTGGGGGGGAGCACGGTCTTTGCAGCATGGGGCGGCCCTAGGGGAAGGGGACCCCTACAGGGGGTACTCTGCGGGCCCGCGGGCCCCAGCCTTGGACAGGCCGGGGCAAGGGGCGCTGGGGGGTAGGCAGAGAGGATGAGGGGCCCCGTAGGGGGAGGGGCCAGGCGATGATGGACAAGGCCAGGGCTGGCAGCGCAGGGCCAAGATCGGGGTCACAGCCCGGGCACTCACCGCTCTCCTGCTCGCTGCCCTTCTTGGCGGCGGCGGCGTTGCCCATCGCGGCGGCGGCGGCCGGGGCCGGTCCCGGAGCTGCGGCGCGGCGGGTGCTGGCTGCGGCCGGCGGCCCCGGAGCGCGCTGGGCGGCGGCGGCGGCGGCCCTCGGGCTGGCTGCGCTAGCTGCGGCGCCGCGACCCCCGCCCAGCCCCTGCTTCCCGCGTCTCTCCGCGCCCGCCCGCCCGGGAACCTCAGCCCAAGATCTCTGCCGCTGTCTGTGACGCCCCCGCAGCCCGCCGCTCATTGGCCTAGGCCGCCCTGACTGACGGCTCAGCGCCGCCTCCCATTGGCCCTCCCGCGACCTTCCCGCGCCACTATAGGCTCTCAGCCTCGGGACACGCACCGCGGACTCTCGGCCATTCACTCGCTCGCGAGGCCGCAGCTGGGCGGGCAGACGCGTCCGATTGGCCGAGACGCTGGACTGGGCCCGGGGTCCGCCCTGCGAGGCCGCCGATTGGCGGAGGTGCCGGGTCCGCCAAGCCCCCCAGCAGAACGCTCAGTGTCAATCCGGGGGTGAGAGGGCGGGGCGGAGACGCAGTCTGCGGGCCCGGGCCGGCGGGGCGGGGCGGCGGAGGCTGGCTGGCGGCCGCGCAGCGCTCCGAGGCTCAGGAGGCGGCCCCGGCGGGCGCCCGGCCGGCCCCGCGCGCGCCGCAGTCCCCCGCCCCCGCTCAGTGCGGCAGCGGCTGTCGGCCAGCCGGAGTTGGCGCCGCGGCCTGCCCGGCGCAGCCGCTGTCCACCTGCCAGCGGGGGAGGGGCGCGGCCGGCGCGCGGGTCAGAGGTCGCCCGGCCGCCGCCGGCGTCATTCATAAGGCCTGGCGCTGGGCGGCCGAGGCCAGGCCTGCTTGGGGGCCAGGCCGCGGGGCCTCCTGGGTTTTCCCAGCCGCACTCAGGAGGATGCCGGGCCCGGCGCAAGGGGTGGCTGGGAAGGGGCGCTCAGTGTCCACCCCTTTGCTGGGCCCTAGCCCTGGGCTCCTGCCAGTAGTAAGAGCTGGCACCCACTTAACGCTCCTTCGCACCACACTCCCATCGCGTAGGTGCTACCATCATCACTCCCATTGCACAGATGAGGAATCTGGGGTACAGCCAGGCAGATTCCCTGCTCCTGTTCCCCGTCTGTATTTCCTGTCTGGGCAATGCGAAGGGAACCTGCCCCTTCCTTCAGGATCCTCTTTCAGTACACACTTAGCAGAGGACAGTCGGGGTTTCCCAACTGCGACACTACTGACGGTGAGGCTGGATCATTTTCTGCTGGGGGGTGTCTTGTGCACCACTGGGTGTTGAGCAACATCCCCCGCCTCTACCCACTGGATGCCAGTAGCCCCTCCTCTATCTTCCTGCTGGCTGTGGCAACCGCTGTCTCCTGACATTGGTGAATGTGCTCTTGCGGGGCCGAACTGCTCCTGATTGAGAAGCACTTAAGAGAGGGTCAGGGGAGGGGAGAAGCCAGGTCACCCCGACTCGGAAGGGCTAGCTGGGCTTAACTACAAGCCGATCTGCTGCTTCGACTTGAATAGCCTCCACCTTCTCCAGCTGCTGTCTGCCCCCATGTTCCCAGATCAACCACAGTTCCAGGGAGGGAGAGTCAGAGCCTTTCTGTGAACTATGGGGAAATGGCTGACCACTCCGCCTCTGGATGGATAGATACATGGTAAGGTTTAGTAAAATTTAATAAAAGCATTGCTGTTTGTGTGTTGGGATCACGATGTTAATTTCCTGTGGGTCAAGGGCAAAGTCTGAAAAATCACTCATTATAATCTATCTGCAGGACAGCTGGTTTAAGTTTTGACAAAGAAAAACCCCTCCTGGAACCTCAGTCTGGAATACAACTGTAGAACCAATTAAGACTGGAGTAGGAAGCTGGAAAGAAGACGTGGGACAGCCAACCCACTGGACAGGGCAAGAGGCCACTTCTGGGGGAGAGTGGACAAAGTTGCTTCAGTCCACCAGAGACAAAAGCACAAACAATCATTCTAAATGAAGTGCTTTTAATTTTCAGACCAAACATTTTTAATATAAAAACATTTTGATAATATACAAACAGCAATCACAACAGCATCCACATGGCAGCAAGGGGACCAGGGCACAGAGAGGGGGAGCGGGCTGGGGAGGGACAGTTTTCAGGGTCCCAGTTGCTTCCCTGGCTTGAAATCACCCTGGTCCTAGCAGAGGACAGGTTAAGGCTGCCAGAGGCAGAGGGTCCCTGACCCTGGCCCGGAGACAGACTGCCCAGGCAGGCCCTCTGATACCATCTTCCAACCATGGCAGCCTCCAGGAAAAGCCAGATCCATTTAGGAGATAACAGGAAGGTGGCTGTGATTGACAGGAAAGGCAACATGGTTCCTCAGCATCCTGCTGATCACACCTCTGGGAGGGGCTGCTGGATTGAAGAGGACCTAAGAATCTTCCTGGGAGCAGGACAGAAATGGGATCTAAGTCTACCTACTAACTAACATTCCCGCCTGTGACACCAGAAAGCTGGAGTGGGTCTGCTCAGATGTACAGGAAGAGAAAGGAATGACAAAGCCTTTGGCTCAGCAGGACTGGAGCCTTGACAGGCACTGACCAAGAAAGCCTCTAGGTGGGCCAGGGAGGTCTGTGGGAAAGCTTTGGATCAATGGTACTCAAGGGTGCACAGTGGCACAGTGGCCTTAGTTAGAATTTATGAAGACGAAAAGAACACAAGTCAGAATTTAGAACTGAAGTACCTGCTTCTTATAGGCCTGTAGAGGAAAAGCGAGATCATCCTTCTGGCCAGGACTAGGGGAGACCCAAGGCCTGTTCTTTCCTAGGGGCTGAGTTTGACAGACCTGGATTGCAGCTGATGGCCCCCAAAGTCCTCTAGATGGGCCCTGCAGGACTCGCTGGGAGGCCTGGTTGCCCCTCCCGGCGTGCTGGGACACTCTGGGTTCCTGCAGTTAGATGCAGTCCATGGAGTTCTCAGGGAGGAGGCCAGGGATGCAGCCAGGGAGCCCCAAGCCCTTGATAGGAGTGCAGTTGAGTGGGAGGCCGCAGCCCAGGGAGGGGTCCTGGGTCTCTATGGCCTCCAGCCTGTCCATGTTGTTGTCCCAGTTGATATGGAAGCGGGTCACCCGGGGGTTCGAGGCCAAGATGTTCCGCTGGAGCTGGGGCAGGAAGAGGAACGTCAACCCTTGTAGGTACGCCCTCTCCTTGGTCCCATAGAGCCAGGACACCCCCAATCACCCATCTCAAGCCCAGCAAGAGCAACCTACATATGGAACTCCAGAAAACACCTGTGGCCAGGACCTTATTTATTTATTTATTTATTTATTTTTTGAGACGGAGTTTTGCTTTTGTTGCCCAGGCTGGAGTGCAATGCTGTGATCTCGTCTCACTGCAACCTCTGCCTTCCGGGTTCAAGCGATTCTCTTGCCTCAGCCTCCTGTGTAGCTGGGACTACAGGTGCAAGGCACCATACCTGGCTCATTTTCGTATTTTTAGTAGAGACGGGCTTTCACCATGTTGGCCAGGCTGGTCTCAAACTCCTGACCTCAGGTGATCCTACAGCCTCGGCCTCCCAAAGTGCTGGGATTACAACGCGTGAGCCACTGTGCCTGGCCCAGGACTTTTTTTTTTTAAGGGACAGTCTCACTCTGTTGGTCAGGCTGGAATGCAGTGGCACGATCTGAGCTCACTGCAGCCTCAAACTCCTGGGCTCAAGCGATCCTCCCACCTCAGCCTCCAGAGTAGAGCACACCACCCATGTCTGGCTCATTTTTTTTTTTTTTTTTTTTTGCGGGGGTTAGGGACAGGGTCTCACTATGTTGCCCAGGCTGGCCTAATCTTAATTCTCTAAGACATGCCTTTGAGAGACAAAGGTCTTTTTCTCCTCTTCTAACACAGTACTGTAAGAACTGAATATTACTTGAAAACCTTAAGAAGTGACCTTGACTCTCAATTTGAATGGCTGAACTCCCCCCAAGTATAAAGAACGGCCTTGTGGGAAGCAGGAAGTGGAAACAGGCCCCACCTGGGAGAAATCTGGCTTCATGGGCGGGTTCTCACGCAGCTCAGGGTTGAGGTACTCGTTGTTGACGTAGTAGCCCACTCGGATGAACTCCTGTCCATGGTAGGTGCAGGTGATGAGGACCACAGTCACACCCACGGCATCAGTCTCTGGGATGAGGGATGGGTTGGGGGCGTCGGCCTAGGGGAGACACATCCTAGGCCTTAGCAGTGCCACAGCCATGCCTCGATGTCATTAGTACAAAGATTCCCAAGCATCATGTATTTACTGAGCAAAAAGTATGCTCTCTGCCCTCAGTTTTCTTTTTTTTACTTCTGCCTCTCGGGTTCAAACAATTCTGCCTCAGCATCCCAGGCAGCTGGGACTACAGGCACACACCACCACACCCGGCTAACTTTTTTTTTTTTTTGGTATTTTTTTTTAATGGAGTTTTGCTCTGTTGCCCAGGCTGAAGTGCAATGGTGCGATCTCGGCTCACTGCAACCTCCGCCTCACGGGTTCAAGCGATTCTCCTGCCTCAGCCTCCCGAGTAGCTGGGATTACAGGTGCCCACCACCATGCCCGGCTAATTTTTGTATTTTTAGTAGAGATGGGGTTTCGCCATGTTGGCCAGGCTGGTCTCGAACTCCTGACCTCAGGTGATCCACCCGTCTTGGACTCCTAAAGTGTTGGGATTACAGGTGTGAGCCACTGCGCCCAGCCTTTTTTTTGTATTTTTAGTACAGACGGGATTTCACCATGTTGGCCAGGCTGGTCTTAAACTCCTGACTTCAGGTGATCTGCCCACCTCGGCCTCCCAAAGTGTTGGGATTACAGGTGTGAGCCATTGCGCCTGGACTTTTTTTTTTTTTACACAGGGTCTGGCCTCCCTCTGTTACCCAGGCTGGAGTGCAATGGCGCCATCATGGCTCACTGCATCCTTGAACTCCTGGGCTCAAGCAATCCTCCTGCTTCAGCCTCCCAAATAGCTGGGACAACGGTGTGTGCCAACATGTCTAGCCAATTATTTTTTGTAGAGACAGGGTTTCTCCATGTTGCCCAGGCTGGTCTCAAACTCCTGGGCTCAAGCGATCCTCTCACCTCAGCCTCCCAAAGGGCTGGGATTACAGGTGTGAGTCACTGTGCCCAGCCAGGAGTTGTCAACTGATGGAAACACAGAATCAATCCCACAAATGACTACAAAACGTTGACTGTGGCAGGGAGAGGTGCGTGGTACTCTGGAGGAGTGTGGTGAGCCGGGGGACAGTGGCATGAAGCTGAACAGGTGAGGCAGGTGGTATCAGGCCACCCGGGGGCCAGCTAAGGGATTGGGAAAGGGCAAGAGAGTAAGCAGGAGGTTAAGTGCCACATCACTCTTGTGATCTGAAAAGAAGCCTCTGGCAAAGTGTGGAGCCGTGACAGGAGACTGTAGTGGAGCAGAAGGCTTACACCAGTCATCCTGGAGAGGCAGTGGACTTGGCTTAGACCAGGCAGTAAAGAACAGATTCAGGGTGTACTACTGCAAACAAGACCAGCCACGTAATTGGTGCAAAATAAAACCAATGCAAAATGAAAACACCACGCCCCTCCAGAAAAGCTATTAGGTTTCAGACGGTGACAGCAGAGTATCGCACCAAGTGTGGGGTCCTGTGCAGCTGCCTGGGTTGCACACCCAGGAGGCCAGTCCTGACTGTTGAGTAGATAGGGCCTGTCAGTGGATTTAGTAGTGGTGGCTGAAGGGGTTAGATAGGATGTGGTAGCTTGGATTAGGGCGGTAACAGCAGTGATGGAGGTAAGGGAGTGTATCCGAGCAGAGGATCCTGAAAAATCACCTGGAGAACTCAGAATCTCCATTTGTTTTTTCTTTCTTCTTTTTTTTTTTTTTTTTTTTTGAGATGGAGTCTCACTGTCACCCAGGCTGGAGTGCAGTGGCGTGATCTCGGCTCACTGCAAGCTCCGCCTCCCAGGTTCACGCCATTCTCCTGCCTCAGCCTCCTGAGTAGCTGAGACTACAGGTGCCCGCCACCAGGCCTGGCTAATTTCTTGTATTTTTTAGTAGAGATGGGGCTTCACCATGTTAGCCAAGATGGTCTCAATCTCCTGACCTTGTGATCCGCCCACCTTGGCCTTCCAAAGTGCTGGGATTACAGGCGTGAGCCACTGCACCGGCCTTCTTTTTTTAAAGAGATAGCTTTTCCCTCTGTCATCCAGACTGGAGTGCAGTGGTGCAATCACAGATCACTGTAAACTCCTGGAACTCCTGGGCTCAAGCGAGCCTATTTTTTTTTTTTTTTTTTTTTAGAGACAGGGTCTCACTCTGTTGCCCAGGCTCGAGTGCAGTGGCGCAATCTCAGCTCACTGTAACTTCCGCCCCCTGGATTCAAATAATTCTCGTGCCTCAGCCTCCCGAGTAGCTAGGATAACAAATGTGCACCACCACATCCAGCTAATTTTTGTATTTTTTAGTAGAGACAGGGTTTCACCATGTTGGCCAGGCTAGTCTTTAACTCCTGACCCCAAGTGATCTGCCTGCCCCAGCCTCCCAAAGTGTTGAGATTACAGGTGTGAGCCATGGCACCTGGCCTCAAGTGAGTCTTCTGCTTCAGCCTCCCTAGTAGCTGGCACTACAGGCCTGCATCACTATGCCTGGTTAATGTTTTTTTTGTAGAGACAGGTCTCGCTGTCACCCAGAATGCAGTGCAGAGGTGCAATCATAGCTCGCTGTAGCCTCAAACTCTCAGGCTCAAGCAAGCCTCCTGCTTCAGCCTCCCAAGTAGCTGGGACGACAGGTGCAAGCCACCACACCCGGCTAATTTTTCTATTTTTTGTAGAGATGGGGGTCTCGCTATGTGGCCCAGGCTAGTCTGGAACTCCTGGCCTTAAGCAGTCCTCCCGCCTCTGCCTCCCAAAGTGCTGGAAGCCACCACACCCGGCCAGAATCTACATTTGACAACCCAGGTGGGGTGCTGCATGAGAGCCATTTAGGAGTTACAGTCCATCCTCATTATTCATGGGTTCCATATGTGCAAGTTCACCTACCTGCTAAGTTTATTTGTAACCCCAAGATGAACACCTGCTTGCTTTCACAGTCACTTGCAGACATGCACAGAGCAGGGAAAAACTGGAGTTACCTACCATGCCTGTTCCCACCTAGAGTTACCTACCACGCCTGTTCCCACCTGAGGTCAAACAAGGCAACACTCTGTCTTCTGGTCTCAGCTCTCACTGTGAATGAGCGTCCTTTCCTCAGCCTACTTAGTGCTTTTTTCCATGTTTTGTGCTTTTTGTTGGTGAGTTTGCTGTCTATGATGGCACCCAACGGTAGTGCTGAAGTGCAGTGTAGGATACAAGAAAGGCTTTATGGAAAATATGCGTATTAGAGAAGTTTCATTCAGGAGAGTTATAGTGCTGTTGGCTGTGAATTCAACATAAATGAACCACTGTATATATTAAATAAGGTATCTTTCCTTTTTTTCTGAGACAGAGTATCGCTGTATCACCCAGGCTAGAGTGCACTGGTGCGATCTCAGCTCACTGCAATCTCCATCTCCCAGGTTCAAGCGATTCTCCCGCCGCAGCCTCCCGAGTAGCTGGGATTACAGGCATGCGCCACCACACCTGGCTGATTTTTGTATTTTTAGTAGAGACGGGGTTTCATCACATTGGCCAGGCTGGTCTTGAACTCCTGACCTCAGGCGATCCACCCACCTCAGCCTCCCAAAGTGCTGGGATTACAGGTTTGAGCCATCATAGCCGTCCTGGTGTCTTTTCAACATAAACACACATACAAGTTTACGTATTAACCAGCTGACGAAAATGTGACTTCCAAGAATCTAACCCTGTATTTCCCCTGGGGCAATGGTTCAGTATTCACTAATTCAGTGTTCGCGGCAACTTTATAGAACGTAACTCTTGTAAATAATGGGAATTGCCTGTAAATCAGTGGCAGCTTTGACACAGAGGTGGGGGAAGGGAGGGCCTGACGGCCTCTGAGAGGTCAGATAGTTCCTGACAGTAGAACTAGGATTTGAACCTGAACTTTTAAATTGTTTTAATTGATTGATTGAGACTGGGTCTTACTGTTGCCCAGGCTGGAGTGCAGTGGTGTGGTCTTGGCTCATTGTAGCTTCCATCTCCCAGGCTCAAGTGATCCTCCCATTTCAGCCTCCCAAGTATCTGAGACTACAGGCGCACACCACCATGCTCTGCTGATTTTTACATTTTTTGTAGAGATGCGGTCTCACTATATTGCCCCAGCTGGTCTCAAACTCCTGGCCTCAAGCAATCCTCCCACCTCGGCCTCCCAAAGTGCTGGGATTACAGGTGTGAGCAACTGTGCCCGGCCTCTATGTTTTTAATACTTGTTTTTTTCTTTTTTAGAGACAGGGTCTCACTGTGTTGCCTAGGCTGGAGTGCAGTGGCTCACTGCAGCCTCAGACTCCCGGGCTCAAGCAATCCTCTCACCTCAGTCCCTGGAGTAGCTGGGTCTATAGGCGTGAGCCCGTGCCCAGCTGAACTTGAACTTTTGATTCCTGAAGCACTCTGTGGGATTTCAGGTAAAAGAGGATGTTTCTAGGAATCAAGGGCTAAGGCCTAAGGCCTCATCTTTCTTACCTGAAAGACAAACATGTGTCTCCCTGCTGGCACAGGGCCCACCAGCACCGAGTCTAGGATCTGATCAAATTCCTCACTCTCAGCCGAGCCAACATAAATGATCTTCCACTCCAGGTCTGCAAAGATATAGGAGGGTTAACTAATTGAAATAGCTCAACAGCAAGAAGGCAGGGATAGGCTCTTGTATTTTTTTTTTTTTTTGAGATGGAGTCTCGTTCTGTCACACAGGTTAGAATACAGTGATGCGATCTCAGCTCACTGCAACTTCCGCCTCCCAGGTTCCAGTGATTCTCATACCTCAGCCTCCCGAGTGGCTGGGATTATAGGTGCCCGCTGCCACGCCTAGCTAATTTTTTTTTTCTTTTTTGAGATGGAGTTTCACTCTTGTCACCCAGGTTGGAGTACAATGGTGTGATCTTGGCTCACTGCAATCTCTGCCTCCCAGGTTCAAGCGATTCTCCTGTCTCAGCCTACTGAGTAGCTGGAATTACAGGCACCTGCCATCATGGCTGGCTAATTTTTTTATTTTTAGTAGAGACAGGGTTTCACCATGTTGATCAGGCTGGTTTAGAACTCCTGACCTCAGGTGATCCACCCGCCTTGGCCTCCCAAAGTGCTGGGATGACAGGTGTGAGCCACTGTACCTGGCCTGTTTTTGTATTTTTAGTAGAGATGGGGTTTCACCATGTTGGCCAAGCTGGTATCCAACTCCTGACTTCAAGTGATCTGCCCGCCTCAGCCTTCCAAACTGGTGGGATTACAGGTGTGAGCCACTGCGCCCGGCCACATCTTCTATTTTATTTTTATTTACTTATTTTTTGAGACAGTCTCCCTCTGTTGCCTAGGCTGGTGTGCAGCGGGATGTTCATGGCTCACTGTAGCCTCAACCTCCTGGGCTCAAGCGATCCTCCTGCCTCGGACTCCCACCATGTTGGGATCACAGGTGTGGGCTGCTGTGCCCAGCCTTGTGGTAATTTTAGACAGATCCTTAATATGTTAAAAGACTATTATTCCATCTGTCAGACACTTAGTGCCAGGCACTGCAGTCTTGAATGCTGAGGTGGGCACAAAGCTCTACCTCCATTAGGGAATTCTGTCTTGTAAGCCTAGCTATGACAGGTGACCTTGACTATACCTCTGGGGAAACCTGGGCCTCTCAAGGCCTGAGCGTGAACTGTATGGCAGAGGCTGAATTAAGAGCCACGTGACACAGACGTGCTGAGAAGGGAACGGCAGGGAGTTGGGTCATTTCAGGGCCCTGCCCACTGGGTGCTGGGATAGGAAGCAGCATCCTCTTTCACACACAGGGACCGGTGCCACTCAACGAAGTGGATCCCTCGACAACTGGGGCAGGGTGGCAGATTCCAATCCGGCAGGAGAGCCAGCCTGCAGGAGGGGGAAGGTGAGGTTGCTCAGGGAGCCAGCCACCCTGGTCTTCCAGATCTGGCACCAAGTCATGCCTACTTAGAGACATTTGGGCAACTCAGTCAACAAATGTGGCATCCCGGGGTGATCCTCCAAACACTTTTTTTTTTTGACAGTTTCACTCTTGTTGTCCAGGCTAGAGTGCAATGGTGAGATCTCGGCTCACTGCAACCTCTGCCTCCCGGGTTCAAGTGATTCTCCTGCCTCAGCCTCCTGAGTAGCTGGGATTATAGGCGCCCGCCACCACAGCCGGCTAATGTTTTGTATTTTTAGTAGAGATGGGGTTTCACCATGTTGGCCAGGTTGGTCTCGAACTCCTGACCTCAGGTCATCCATCCGCCTCCGCCTCCCAAAGTGCTGGGATTACAGGTGTGAGCCACCGTGCCCAGCCTCAAACCCTAACTCTTGCACCCCATCCAGCAGGAGGGCCCCCTCCCCTGAATATGCTCCATTGAGATGAAAGGAAAGTGCTTATGGAACCTCTGGCTGTCAATCACAGGAAATTCCGGTCAACATGGCCTCTTGCAGGAGGTCCAAGTGTATCAGGGGCAAGGTCATGCTGGTACAGGGAGGCTTGGCAAGAGGCTTGAAACTTATTTTTGGCTCTTTAGAAATTACACAACCCTTCAGCTCTAGCAGCTGGGGGAAGTTTCACAAGCTGTGATTTTCACAGGAAGCAAACTCTCTCAGAAGCTGCCCTGTTCCTTGGTCCAGTGTCCCACAAGAGCATCCAACTTTGGAAGCATGCTGCTGCCAGGTCATGACTACAGAGGCTTGTCACCTGAGCCCCATGCCCTTCTTTGATGCACTGGCTGCCTGTCCCTTTGTGGTTTCACTCAGGAACCCTATAGCAGGTCTGTAGGATACGGGTGACCATTGAACTCACAGGTGTTTGGTCGAACTAGCCTCTTACTATTTGCAGGGAGGAAGTTGACTTTTTTCACTGGAGATGGGGTCTCGGTCCGTCACCCAGGCTGCAGTGCAGTGGCATAATCATAGCTCACTACAGCCACAAATTCCTGCGCTCAAGTGATTCTCTTGCCTTAGCCTCCCAAGTAGCTGGGACCACAGGCTTGTGCCACACGCCCAGGGAATTTTTAAATTGTTTTTAGAGATGAGGTCTTGCTTGGTTGCCCAGCCTGGTCTCAAGCAATCCTCCCGCCTTGGCCTCCCAAAGTGCTGGAATTTGTCTGAGCCATCATGTCCAGCCTGTTGATTTATTTTTGTTACAAGTAGTGACACAACTGGAATCAAGTTTTGGGGGAAGACAGAAAAGCCAGCCAGCCCTGCTCTCTCCTTTCTAAAGCAGTTGTATCATTTTGGTGTATATCCTTGAGCCCTTTCCTCTCATAGCCGGTAGAATCCTGTACGGGTGCATTTAATTCATGTCCTGGGAAGGTAGACAAAAAAGACTAAAGTGTACCCACGAGCACCTGATGTTGTCCAGCTGAGGTCAATACTAATCGGCAAAACCTAAACAAAGAGCATGTGGAAACTCACCGAAATAAATGGGCCCCTGCAACATAGGCAGACTCGACTCTATTAAAAATCAACAAAATTAATTGGGTGTGGTGGCGCGTGCCGGTGGTCCCAGCTATGCGGGAGGCTAAGGTTGGAGGATCGCTTGAGCCTAGGAGTTCAGGGCTGCAGTGAGCCATGATCGAGCCACTGCATTCCAGCCTGGACGACAGAGACCCTATCTCAAAGGAAAAAAAAGAAAAAGAAAAAATGTACTGTGTTGACTGTCAGGCACAGGGGCTGAAATGGCTCTTTCAACCAGGGCTGGAAAGAAACTGGAGAATTAACTAACGGCTGTAGAGAAATACTGACTCAAGAGTTACAGAAGCTGGTTGGGCACGGCAGCTCACACCTGTAATCCTAGCACTTTGGGAGGCCGAGGCAGGCAGATTGCCTGAGCTCACGAGTTCGAGACCAACCTGGGCAACATGGTGAAACCCCATCTCTACTAAAAATATAAAAATTTAGCTGGGCATGATGGTGTGCACCTGTAATTCCAGCTACTCAGGAGTCTGAGGCATAAGAACTGCTTGAACCTGGGAGGCAGCAGAGATTGCAGTGAGCCGAGATTTTGCCACTGCACTCCAGCCTGGGCAACAGAGCCAGCCTCCGTCAAAAAAAAAAAAAAAAAAAAAAAAAAAAAAAAGAAGAAAGAAGGAAAGAAAGGAAGAAAAAAAGAGTTATAGGTATAGGGCCAGGTGAGGTGGATCATTGGATCATGGCTGTAATCCTAGCACTTTGGGAGGCTGAGGCGGGTGGATTGCTTGAGCTCAGAAGTTCGAGATCAGCCTGGGCAACATGGTGATACAAAAAATACAAAAAATTAGCCAGGCGTGGTGGCATGCCCCTGTAGTCTCAGCTACTCGGGAGGCTGAGGTTGCAGTGAACTGAGATCGTGCCTCTGCACTCCAGCCTGGGTGACAGAGTGAGACTCCATCTCTACTAAAAATATAAAAAATTAGCTGGGCGTGGTGGTGTGCACCTGTAATTCTAATTTATTTTATTTTATTTTGACATGGAGTCTCACTCTGTTGCCCAGACTAGAGTGCAGTGGCACGATCTCGGCTCACTGCAAGCTCCGCCTCCCGGGTTCATGCCATTCTTGTGCCTCAGCCTCCTAATCAGCTGGGACTACAGGCACCCCCCACCACGCCCGGCTAATTTTTTTTTCTATTTTTAGTAGAGACGGGGTTTCACTGTGTTAGCCAAGATGGTCTCGATCTCCTGACCTTGTGATCCGCCTGCCTTGGCCTCCCAAAGTGCTGGGATTACAGGCATGAGCCACTATGCCCAGTCGAGAATCATCTTAAATTTGCTGAAGTGCCCAGGCATGGTGATGTGCACCTGTGGTTCCAGCTACTTAGGAAGCTGAGGTGGGAGGACTGCTTAAGCCCAGGAGTTCAAGTCCAGTCTGGGCAACATAGTGACACCCTATCTCTTTAAAAAAAAAAAAAAAAATCTGGCTGCAGTGTTATAAGTAGAGACATACGTGTATGATTTCATCTCTAAATATAATCTTTCTTTAGAATTATACATGGGACACAAATCACCAATACAGCAGGAACTCATAGCTATGAGTACAGGACACAGCTGTACACATGACGTGTGTACCTAACCTTCTGAGCAATGTCAAGGCAACTCAACTGTGTCCCATGTTATCTCTCTGCGCTAACTTCACAAGCTAGTCCCTGTGCAAGACATACCTCCACTGTGTGTTTGTGTGTATATATATATATATATATATATAAATGATAAGACTAAAGACATGTACACAATTAGTATAGCTGAACTAGCTAAAAAGTCTGCTTCCTGCTTTTTTGTTGTTGTTTTTTTGAGACAGTCTTGCTCTGTCGCCCAGGCTGGAGTGCAATGGCGCAATCTGGGCTCACTGCAATTTCCATCTCCCGGGTTCAAGCGCTTCTCCTGCCTCAGCCTCCCAAATAGCTGGGACTACAGGCACCTGCCACCAAGCCTGGCTAACTTTTGTATTTTTAGTAGAGACAGGGTTTCACCACATTGGCCAGGCTGGTCTCAAACTCCTGACCTCAGATGATCCACCTGCCTTGGTCTCCCAAAATGCTGGGATTACAGGGGTAAGCCACTGTGCCTGGCCATTTTTTTTTTCTTTTTTTTTTTTTGAAACAGAGTCTCGCTCTGTCACCCAGGTTGGAGTGCAGTGGCACAATCTCAGCTCACTGCAACCTCTGCCTCCCGGGTTCTAGCGATTCTTCTGCCTCAGCCTCCTGAGTAGCTGGGATTATAGCTGCGTGCCACCATGCCTGGCTAATTTTTGTATTTAGTAGAGCCGGGGTTTCACCACGTCGGTTAGGCTGGTCTCGAACTCCTGACCTTGTGATCCATCCGCCTCGGCCTCCCAAAGTGCTGGGATTACAGGTGTGAGCCACCACACCTGGCTTTTTCTTTTTTTTTTTTTTTGAGATGGAGTCTTGCTTTGTTGCCCAGGTTGGGGTGCAGTGGTGCAATCTCGGCTCGCTGCAAGCTCTGCCTCCTGGGTTCACGCCATTCTCCTGCCTCAGCCTCCCGAGTAGCTGGGACTACAGGCGCCCGCCACCACACCCGGCTAATTTTTTGTATTTTTAGTAGAGACGGGGTTTCACCATGTTGGCCAGGCTGGTCTCGAACTTCTGACCTCAGGTAATCTGCCCGCCTTGGTCTCCCAAAGTGCTGGGATTACAGGCGTGAGCCACCATGCCAGGCCTCCTTTGTTTGTTTGCTTTTTGCCTTTGTTCATAATCAAAGATGAGCTCTGCTGCCATAACAACTTCGTTATTTCTGGGTCAGAACATCTGGCTTCTATGACTTATTCAACCAGTGTCTGTTGAATTTCTCAGCTAAATGTGGAAGAATCTATTTCCAGATGTGGAAGATAAAAGTGCAAAGGGGGCTTGGGGCCCCTGAGAAATAGGGGTCACCCAACTGGGGCTTAGGGGTTAGGGTGGTTTTTTTTTTTTTTTTTTTTGAGATGGGGGTCTTGCTCTCTCACCCAGGTTGGAGTGCAGTGGTGCAATCATGGCTCACTGCAGCCCTGACCTCCTGGGCTCATGCAATCCTCCCACTTCAGCCTCCTGAGTAGCTGGGACCACAGACACGTGCCACCAAGTCCCGTTAATTTTTTGATGTTTCTGTAGAGACAAGGTTTTGCTATGTTACCCAGGCTGGCCCAAATTCCTGGGCTCAAGAGATCCTCCTTCCTTAGCCTCCCAAAGTGCTGGAATTACAGGCATGAGCCACCTCACACAGCTGGGTTGGGGGTTTTGTCAGATTTTCAGTTGACGCTGCTGAGAGTGAGGCAGATTCTCCCTTTTTCATGGAGAGGAGTCCAGAAGGAGGCAGAAAGCAAGCTGGCAGATCAGTCACAGAGAGCCCTAGGACTGGAAGAGCCAGGATTTCTCACTTGAGTTACTCAAAGGAAAAGCTTTATCATCCAGGTACAATTAACAATAGCATTCTCTGGCCAGGCGCTTAGGATTCAAAGTGTAATCCCAGCACTTTGGGAGGCTGAAGTGGGCATATCACTTGCGATCAGGTTTGAGACCAGCCTGGCCAACATGGTGAAACCTCGTCTCTACTAAAGACACAAAAATTAGCCGGGCATGGTGGCTCAAGCTTGTAATCCCAACTACTTGGGATACTGAGGCCGGAGAATCGCTTGAACTCGAGAGGTGGAGATTGCAGTGAGCTGAGATTGCACCACTGCACTGTAGCCTGGGTGACATAGTGAGATTCCATTTCTAATAATAATCATCATCATCATCATAATCATACGACGGGCACGGTGGCTCACGCCTGTAATCCCAGGCCGAGGCGGGCGGATCACAAGGTCAGGAAATCGAGACCATCCTGGGTAACACAGTGAAACCCCGTCTCTACTAAAAATCCAAAAAGTTAGCTGGGCATGGTTTCGGGCGCCTGTAGTCCCAGCTACTTGGGAGATTGAGGCAGGAGAATGGCGTGAACCCGGGAGGCGGAGCTTGCAATGAGCCATGATCACGCCACTGCACTCCAGCCTGGGTGACACAGCGAGACTCCATCTCAAAAATAAATAAATAAATAAATAAATAAATAAATAATAATAATAGCACTTCCCTTCACTGCATTTTGAGTGTCCTGATTAGGCAATAAATTCTGTGGTCATTCCTATCTATGCTCCACCCCTGAAACAGGGAATCCTTCCTTTCTTTCCCTGGATTGGAGCAAAGATAAAGAATTTAGATTCAAAACTTCAGTGCCAATACTTCTACAAACTGGCTGTGTGACTCTGGTGAAGTCACTCCATTTCTATTAAAAAATGATCAGCAGAGGCTGGACGCAGTGGCTCACGCCTGTAATCCCAGCACTTTGGGAGGCTGAGGCGGGCGGATCACCTGAGGTCAGGAGTTCAAGACCAGCCTGGCCAAGATGGTGAAACCCCGTCTCTACTAAAAATACAAAAATTAGCCAGGCGTCATAGCAGGCACCTGTAATCCCAGCTGCTCGGGAGGCTGAGGCAGGAGAATCGCTTGAATCTGGGAGGTGGAGGTTGCAGTGAGCCAAGATCGCGCCATTGCACTCCAGCCTGGGGGACAAGAGCAAGACTTCATCTCCAAAAAAACAAAAAAAGGACCAGCAGGTTGAATTTAGCCCTTCCGGCTCTAATTCTATAAATAAGTTAGTAAAGTCACAGGGCAGGGGCTTCCTAGGAGTAGAAGTACCAGATAATGACCGCACAACCATTTTTTTTTTTTTTTTTTTTTTTTGAGACGGAGTCTCGCTCTGTCGCCCAGGCTGGAGTGCAGTGGCGCGATCTCGGCTCACTGCAAGCTCCGCCTCCCGGGTTCACGCCATTCTCCTGCCTCAGCCTCCCGCGTAGCTGGGACTACAGGCGCCCGCCACCACGCCCGGCTAATTTTTTGTGTTTTTTAGTAGAGACGGGGTTTCACCGTGTTAGCCAGGATGGTCTCGATCTCCTGACCTCGTGATCCGCCCGCCTCGGCCTCCCAAAGTGCTGGGATTACAGGCGTGAGCCACCGCGCTCGGCCACAACCATTTTTAAATGCAAGGAACACAAACAGGCTGATTGAAACCTGATCTCCTGCCGTCGGGGAGCTGGGAATCCCTCAACCTATTACTTCCTTCCATCTCCTCCTGGCTTTTAAATTAAATCTTATTCCACAGCGTCATTCTACACTTTATTTATTTATTTACCCGCTGCCTTGTTCCAGAAAGGATTTAACTCGGCATATTCTATAGTTAGCCACAAGTAGACTCCTTAATTTAAAAAGGAGCGAGAGAGACCGGGGAGAGACAGACCCACTGGCCTACCCAAAGCACATCCACATCTCACTCTATCAGCTCCAAGCTAGTCCAGGCGACCAGCTTTGAGGGCAAAACACCTACCTGCCCCCGAGAGGCACTAGTTAGCATATCCTGGCTTCACAGGCCCCCAGATCACCACCTCCTCGGCTGCTGCCTTTTCTCTTTCAACCACCAAGTAGAAAAATGGCCTAATGGAGTACTTCTTCCTGAAAGCAGGACTTGCCTGTTAGTGGTGCCAAGGCTCCCTAGGTGACCTTAGATTTTGGATTTGTACAGGCCTTGACTTGAAAGGTCTTTTGCGTTTTGTGGCTCCTGTCTTCTCATCTGTGAGATGAGAGCCATGCCCACCTTTAAGTCACACAGATTAATAAGTACATCTACGGAAGCACCTTGGAAAAGATGTACAGGAGGCTGTGACCTCCAAGCTCCAGCCGACTGTTTGAAGCTGGAGCCCGTCACAGCTCAGCCCAATCCACCCACCCCCCAGACTAGGTCAGACCATCAAAAGCAACGGGAGCTTGGCACTGATTATCCAGCTATATTAAAAAAAAAAAAGAAGAAGACGGGGCACGGTGGCTCACGCCTGTAATCCCAGCACTTTGGGAGGCCAAGGCGGGTGGATCACTTGAGGTCAGGAGTTCGAGACCAACCTGGCTAACATGGTGAAACGCTGCCTCCACTAAAAATACTAAAATTAGCTGGGCGTGGTGACAGGCGCCTGTAGTCCCAGCTACTCGGGAGGCTGAGGCAGAAGAATCGCTTGAACTCGGGAGGTGGAGGTTGCAGTGAGCCGAGATCGTGCCATTGCACTCCAGCCTGGGCAACAGAGTGAGACTGTCTCAAAAAAAAAAAAAAAAAAAAGAAGAGGAAGAAGAAGAAAGAAAAAGTGACAGAAAAATTGCTGCAGTAACTCAGCTGGAAACGGGTGGGCAAACCTGGAGAACTAGCTAATGCCTGCCTGGCTATGCCACCCCTCGGATCTCAGTGTGTTTATCCAAGCCCACAGAGAAAGGTGGGGAAGGGGAGCTGGGGAGACAAAGTTCCCCTCAAAGACGGTAGCATCCTTTCCCAGGGAGAGCTCAAGCATAGGGGGGTTGGGCCCCAACGAAGGAGAGAAACCAGGTTCCAGGGTATGTGCATTGGGGCAGAAAAGCGGCAGCAACTGGTGGGCGTGGGGTTATTGAAATATTGGCAGGTTGGGGAGGGGACTGGTGGGACACAAATGGGAAGATGGGGTTGAGAGAGGTCCTGAAAAGGGGTTGAGGGGTTTTCACAGGAAAAAAAGGTTACTGGAGGGGAGGGTCTTCACGGCAAGGAGAGAGGAGCTTGGGTGAGAGGTCTCCATAGGGAAAATAGGAGATGGCTGGGATTTCCCCCGGGGAAAATGGGAAGGGGCTGGATATTGGGGGTCTCCAGAGGGAAAATGGGAGGTGTGAGTATCTCACTACAGGAAAGAGGGAATAAGTGGGCAAAAATGGGTGGGTGGTTGAAGCGGGGGTCTTGCCACAGGGAAACCACGGTGGCTGAAGATCTCCGTGGGTTAAGAAATGGAGGCCGAGAAGGTCTCCCCATGAAAACGGGTACCTAGGAAGAGCTCCAGAGAAAAAAGATGGATGAGGTTCCCCACGCGGGAAATGGGGCTTGGAGGGGGTTAATCTCTATGGGGAGGTCGGGGCGGGCAGTGGGGGAAGAGGCCACTGGGAGGTCCGAGTTAGCTGGCGGGGGGTCTCCACCCGGGAGGTCAAGGCGGGCAGTGGGGGAGGAGGTCACGGGGAGGTCCGTGTTGGCTGGTGGCGGGGGGTCTCCACCGGGAGATCCGGTTGACTGGCGGGCTGGGGGAGATCGGGGTTGGCGGAAGGGGGACGAGGGGTTTCATGGGGGAGATCAAGTTGGCCATGGGAGCGGTTCTCTGAGGGGAGGCCGGGGTCGGCCCGGGGGTGGGGGTCCCCGCACAGGCCCAGCCTCACCGTCCGCCAGGGCTTCACTGCACTCGAAGCTGATCTCGAACCGGAAGGGGCTGTGGAAAGGGCTCGGGTTCTCCAGGACCGCCACGTTCAGCACCGACACCTTGGCCATCGCCTCGCCTCGCCGCGCCGCAGCAGGGGCAGGGGCTGTGGCTGTGGCGGAGGCCGCGCCTGGGTCCGGTGGGGTCAGTGGGGTAGGGCTGACCAGGTCCACTCCCGCCTCTTCTCTCCGAGAACTGAAGTGCGCACCTAGTCCGCGCGCCGCCTTCAAATAGCCGGCCTCCGCCCTCTGGCCAATCACCGCCAACGCTCCCTGGCGGCGCGCGCACCCCCTCAGCCAGTCCTGGAGCGCCGATCGGCGCGCGCCCAGACTCCTCGGACCAATCAGCGGAGCTCCCTCTCCGCAGCGTGTGAGGAGGGCGAAACTATCTCCAAGCTTCTTAGCGTGTCCGCTGGAAACCAATCCCCAGCGTCTCCGACTTGGATGTCAACGGCGGGAATGGACGGAGTCACAGCGCCGGCCTCCTTCTGGCCAATCCTGAGGGTTCCCGCACCGGCGTGGCCCGCCCCTCGCCTCGCTTTTCCGGGAGATGCATCCCGCAGCGCGCAGCGCCGCCACCCGCCGAGCGGTGGCGCGCGGCGCTCGCTAAAGAAGGCGGGAAGGGCGGTGCTCGCACCCGAAGTGATTGGCAGGAGGGAGTGGGGCGGAGATAAAGAGGGTTTTCTGAGAGTTTATTGGCTGGATTGGTAATGGTGGCGGGAGCAGAAGGAGGCTCAGCTGGGGATTCGCTGGAGAGAAGCGGAAGTCGAGCGCCACCGCGGTGTTGGCGAGTGTGAAGAGAGAGGAGGAGCGTTTGCGGCCTCAGCGTCTGTCAACAGGTGAGCGTTTCCTGGAGCTTTTCTGAGTGGCTCCTGACCCTTGAGGTCCAGCGGCGCGGGAGTCCGTTGTGAACGTTGCGAACGTTCGGAGTGGCGGTCACGAGGCGCGCTCAGACCTCGGGAATCCGGCCGGGTTCGGATCCCGCTTTCGCCCCCGAGGGGTTCGGATCCCGCTCTCGCCCCCGAGGGGTTCGGATCCCGCTCTCGCCCCCGAGGGGTTCGGATCCCGCTCTCGCCCCCGAGGGGTTTGGATCCCTCTCTCGCCCCCTTGAGGGCTCTTGGGAGGTTTCAAGCGGACGGTACTGAAAATGGGAGTTCCAGTTCGGGGGCAGACCAGTGTTCAGAGTCCGGGCTCTGCTACTCAGCGCCCGAGGCAGCGCCTCCCCATTCAACGGGGGCCGTGGCAATTCCCTGACATGATTCATGACCACATAATACATCCGGAAACTTCTCTCCACCGCCTCCCGTCTGGGCCGTCGCCCCCGGCCTGGGAGACTCCAGGTCTCAGAGTCTCTGCCCCCACGGGCGATCAGTGCTGCCCAGTGGAAAAATAATGCCAGCCGCGCACCAAAATTAGGTGTAAAATTAACATTTTTTGGAAGCCACTTTTTTTTTTTTGAGATGGAATCTCGCGCTGTCACTCAGGCTGGAGTGCAATGGCGCGATCTCGGCTCACTGCAACCTCTACCTCCCGGGTTCAAGCGATTCTCCTGCCTCAGCCTCCTGAGTAGCTGGGATTACAGGTGCCCACCACCACAACCAGCTAATTTTTTTTCTGTATTTTCAGTAGAGACGGGGTTTCACCATGTTGGCCAGGCTGGTCTCGAACTCCTGACCTCAAGTGATCCGCCCGCCTCGGCCTTCCAGAGTGCTGGGATTACAGGCGTGAGCCACTGTGCCCGGCCATATCTTTTTTTATTATTATTTGTAATTTTAGAGGCTGGTCATGGAGGATTTCTTGAGGCCAGGAGTTCAAGATCAGCCTGGGCAACATAACAAGACCTCATATCTACAAAAAATAAAAGAATAAGCCAGGTGTGGTAGTGCATACCTGTAGTGTCTGCTACTCCTGAAGCTGAGGCAGGAGGATCTCTTGAGCCCAGAATGCTCCAGCCACTGCACTCCAGCCTGAGTGTCAGAGTGAGACCCTGTCTCTAAAAATTAAAATTAAATTTTAAAAAAGAAAGTTCAGTTTAGCTGTCTTGATAGCCGCAGTTGAGTGCTCCTGAGCCCGTGTGACAAGTGGCTCCTGTATTACTGGACAGCGAAGGTCAGAAACACATTTGACCAGGTCACTTCTCCGGATGAGAGCATTGTCTTTGAAACTCTATGCTTTGTCTCCTGTTAACCACCCAGCTCCAACTTCAAACCAGGCTAAGTAACCCTCTTTTTGTTAAAATTCTGACAAGCCACTCCCAGTGCAAAGCCTCTGCCCAGAACCTCTTCTCCTAGGCTCTTGGCATGGCTTATGCCTTCTTGTCATTCAAGTCTCTGTTCAAATGTCCTCTCCCCAGAGAGGCCTTTCTAAGGGTGCTCTGGACAGTGTTCAAACTCACAGGCCGTACGCCTGAACAGCACTGAGCCAAGGCACTAGTATTTCTTACCCAGTCACCTCTGTGGGCTCACTAGGACTCACTCACTGTGCTAGTATGTTTTCCTTTTCCTTTTCTTTTTAAACAATCCAGTTCCTGTGGGATTTTTTTTTTTTAATAGAGGTCTGTTGCCCAGGCTGGAGTGCAAGTGGCATAATCGTGGCTCACTATAACCTGGAACTCTTGGGCTCAAGTGATCCTCCCACCTCAGCCTCCCGAGTGGCTGGGATCACCAGTGCGTGCCACCATGCCTAATTTGTTTTATTTTATTTTATTTTTTTTTTGAGAGGGAGTCTTGCTCTGTCACTCAGGCTGGAATGCAGTGGCGCAATCTCAGCTCACTGCAACCTCCTGCTTCCAGCTTCAAGCGATTCTCCCACCTCAGCCTCCCGAGTAGCTGGGACTACAGGCACACGCTACCTTACCCAGCTAATTTTTGTATTTTTAGTAAAGATGGGGTTTCACTATGTTGGCCAGGCTGGTCTCAAACTCCTGACCTCAGGTGATCCACTCACCTCGGCCGCCCAAAGTGCTGAGATTACAGGCATGAGCCACCGTGCCCTGCCTCTTATACTTTTTAAATTTTTTGTAGAGACAGGGTCTCGCTGTTGCCCAGGCTGGTCTTGAAACTCCTGGCCTCAAGCAGTCCACCTATCTTGTCCTTAAGTGCTGGGATTACAGCGCCTAGCCCATTTTTGGTATCTACATCTCACATTAAGTTAAGAAAAATTCTTTTTAGCTGTTAAAAAATCGAAAGCTTTGTTTTTATTCTTTTGAAATTATTTGGCTTCAAGGAAACTCACATTTATGATTCGCTTGATTTCTTGGCAATCATTGCATACTTAGGGATATTTGTGATTTGAGAAAATCTAATTTCCAAATGTAATTCGATTGCTTATGAATACTAAATTTAATGATTAATGCAGTTGTCATGATGTCACATTTCTAGATGCTTAATTAAACATTTATTCATTCCAACTTTGTAGTTTTCTCTTTGCATTGTGGAACTTTTTTCCCTTTATCCCTGTCCCTGACCTTTTCGTAGCCCCTGAGAAGCTCATGATCCACCAGCATTATTTCCGTGGCGCTAATGAAGAATGTGGCCCTGTCTATGATGCATTCTCCTTACAGCTGGCTGAATGATCTTCACTTGTAAACCAGATCATGTCATTACTCTGCTTAAAACCTTCAGAGGCTTATCCTACTTAGAATGAAACCTAAGATCTTTCCTATGGCTTAGGCGGCCCTGCGTGGTGGCCTCAGCTGACCTCTCAGGCCTCATCTACCATTCTTCCTCTTGTCACCGCTCTCAAGCCCAGCTGGCTTTATTTCCCTTCTTTCAACACACCCAGCTTATTTCTGCCGCAGGGCTTTGCACTTGCCGTTCCCTCTGCCTGGAATGTGCTTCCTCCAGATAATTGCATGGCTGTCTCTTTCTCTTCGCTTGTGGTTCAGCTCAAATGTCCTCTGAAAGAAGACTTCCCAGAGTACCCTATTTAAAGTAGCACTTTCTTGGCCGGGCGCGGTGGCTCATGCCTGTAATCCCAGCACTTTGGGAGGCCAAGGCAGGCGGATCACGAGGTCAGGAGATCGAGACCATCCTGGCTAACATGGTGAAACCGCATCTCTACTAAAAATACAAAAAATTAGCCGGGCGTGGTGGCGGGCGCCTGTAGTCCCAGCTACTTGGGAGGCTGAGGCAGGTGAATCGCTTGAATCTGAGAGGTGAGGGTTGCAGTGAGCTGAGATCGTGCCTCTGCAATCCAGCCTGGGTGACAGAGCAAGACTCCGTGTCAAAAAAAATAAATAAATAAATAAAGTAGCTTTTTCTTAATCACATCACTCAGTTTTATGATCTTAGTAACGCATATCAGAATTTGTACTTATTTTCGGGTGGGCATGGTGGCTCACACCTATAATCCCAGCACTTTAGGAGGCCAAGGCGGGCCGGTCACTTGAGGTCAGGAGTTCGAGACCAGCCTGGCCAACATGGCAAGACCCCGTTTCTACTAAAAAAAAAAAATACAAAATAAATAAATAAATAAATAAATAAATTAGCTGGGCGTGGTGGCACGTGCCTGTAGTCCCAGCTGCTCAGGAGGCAGAAGAATTGCTTGAACCGGGGAGGCAGAGGCTGCAATGAGCCGAGATCACGCCACTGCACTCAAGCCTGGGCAACTGAGAGAGATTCCATCTTAAAAAGAAAAAAAGAATTTCTACTTATTTTGGTTTTAAATTGTGCTTATTATCTCATCATCCCTCAGTAGATTGAAAGCTGGTTGTGAGAAGAGATCTCGCCTAGCTCACACCTCTCAATGTTGTACTTCCAGAGCTTAGCAGAGGACGTGGCTCATAGAAAGTCCTCAATCAATTTTTCAAAAAGAATAAATCTGGCTGGGCGCAGTGAGTCACACACTCTGGGAGGCCGAGGTGGGCGGATTACCAGGTCAGGAGATCGAGACCATCATGGCAAACATGATTAAAACCTGTCTCTACTAAAATACAAAAAATTAGCCAGCCGTGGTGGTGCGTACCTGTAGTCCTAGCTACTTGGGAGGCTGAGGCAGGGGAATTGCTTGAACCTGGGAGGTGGAGGTTGCAGTGAGCCTAGATTGCACCACTGCACTCCAGTCTGGTGACAGAGGAAGACTCCGTCTCAAAAAAAAAAAGAATAAATCTATGTAAAGGGTGGGTTTAGCATAGTACCTGGAATGTGAAAAGTACTCAATAAACATGAACCAGCCAGGTGCAGTGGCTCACGCCTGTAATCCCAGCACTTTGGGAGGCTGAGGCGGGTAGATTGCTTGACCTCAGGAGTTCGAGACCAGCCTGGGCAAAACCCTGTCTCTACAAAACATAAAAAAATTAGCCGGGTGTGGTGGCATGTGCCTGTGGTCCCAGCTACTCAGGAGGCTGAGGTGAGAGGATTGCTTGAGCCCTGGGGGCAGAGGTTGCAGTGAACCAAGATCTCACCACTGCACTCCAGCTTAGCTAGGCAACAGAGTGAGACCCTGTCTAAAAACAAACAAAAGACTGAACTGTTAGTAGCATATAGTAATAAGCAGATACGTCTTCATTCTTGTTTAATACTTCAGGTGCACACATGCTCGAGAAAGTATAAGAAGTGCTATAGCAAAATACTGTTACCCAGCTTAACAGCTAAAACATTAGAGATGCAACTGAAGGGCCCTATACCCCTACATCAAACCCATTCCTCTTCCTTTTTCCTCACATGTAACCACAACCCTGAATTTGGTGTTTACAGTCTTCTGTGCATATCGGCGTGTATCTTTAAACAATATATAGTATTGTTTGTCATGTTCTATACTTTTATATAAATGGTGTCTGCGCAATTTAGAGTTAACCTAGCAGGCCTGAGACTGCTATCCTTAGAAAGACCTGTTTGCAAGATTGGCCCTTGGCTGATATCTAGGAACTTGGATTTCAGGAGGGTTCCTGCCGTTCCCCAAATGATGAGTGCCTAAACTGTTTCCACCAACAATGTGGTTCATGTTGAACACCTGCTCTCCTTCTGGAGTCTGGCATTTTGGTACACGACCACCCCCAAGTACAACTCTGGTCACTGAGTAATGAGCTTCCCTGGTAGACCGCCTATCCGTCGTGCTGTCATACTTGGCGGTAGGAATTGATGGAGTCCTGTGTGACTCCACTAGGAGAGGACTCTTAGAAGCTTGTCCTGGTTTCCTCTGGACTTCAGCTCCTGCATCTTTTCCCTTTGCTGATTGTGCCTTGTGTCTCTTCACTATCATAAATCACAGCCATGCCTACGCTTCCAAGCAAAATCCTGTGACTCCTCTTAGTGAGTCATTGAACCTCAGGGTGGTCTTGGGGACCTCTGATAGCAGGATCATACTGGGTGTATCCTGACAGAGCTGGCACTAAGGTGGCACTGGGTCCTGCCTTCTGAAACTTGCTTTTTTTAATCCAGTGTAATGCTTTTGAGATTTATCTATGTGGAAACGTGTATAGCTCTAATTCACTTATTTTCACTGCTATACAGCTGTGCTGATAAGGTAACCACTAGCCACATGTGGCTATTTAGATTAAAATTAGACGAAACAAATAATCTACTTCCCCAGACACACTAGTCACATTTCACATGTTCAGCAGGAGCCTGTGGCTAGTGGCCACCATGGTGTATAGAGAACATAGAGAGGAAACATTTCCATGAGAACAGAGAGTTTTGTTGGACAGTGTTTATCAATTCACTTGGTTGAAATTTAGGGTGTTTTCAGTTTTCTACCATTACAAACAGTGCTGCAGTATGCGTTGGTATCTATGTCTCCTTGAACACATGTAGGAGTTACTCTGGGAGATAAACCTAGGAGTTGAAGTGCTGGACGGGGGGTTGCGGAAGTATTCATCTTTTCAAGATACTGCTAATCTGCTCTTCGGAATCATGGTACTGGTTCTCACTCCCCTCGTTAGTGTTCCTGTTGCTCAGTGTCCTTATCTTTTATTTTTATTTTTATTTTTGAGACAGAGTTTCGCTCTTGTTGCCCAAGCTAGAGTTCAATGGCACGATCTCGGCCTCCCGGGTTCAAGCGCCGCCTCCCGGGTTCAAGCGATTCTCTTGTCTCAGCCTTCTGAGTAGCTGGGATTACAGGTGTGCACCACCACGCCTGGCTAATTTTTGTATTTTTAGTATAGATGGGGTTTCACCATGTTAGCCAGGCTGGTATCGAACTCCTGACCTTAGGTGATCTGCCCGCCTCAGCTTCCCAAAGTGCTGGGATTACATGTATGAGCCACCGCACCCAGACATCTTTTAATTTTTATAATGTTTTGATGTTCAGCATTTTTAAAAATTATTATTATTATTATTATTATTTGAGACAAAGTCTTGCTTTGTCGCCCAGGGTGAAGTGCAATGGTGTGAACTTGGCTCACTGCAACCTCCGCCTCCCGGGTTCAAGCAATTCTCCTGCCTCAGCCTCCCGAATAGCTTTTTGGACCAGTCTCTCATGCCTGTAGTCCCAGCACTTTGGGAGGCCGAGGCGGGCGGGTCACCTGAGGTCAGGAGTTTGACACCAACCTGGCCAACATGGCTAAACCCTATCTCTTCTAAAAATACAAAAAGTTGCCGGGGTTGGCGGCGGGTGCCTGTAATTCCAGCTATTCAGGAGGCTGAGGCAGGAGAATCTCTTGAACCCGGGAGGCTGAGGTTGCAGTGAGCTGAGATTGCACCACTGCACTCCAGTCTGGGCAACAGAGTGAGACTCTGTCTCAAAAATAAACAAACAAAACATATATTCTGAGAATTAAATGAGACAAAATGTAGGAAAGAGCTTTGAAATGATACATTTCAGCATAAATGTACCGTCCCTAGGCACATGCAGATGAATGGGTGCCACTAACAACTACCTGAGGGTCAGAGGTTGTCAGGCACAGCAGGTTTATTTTTATTTTTGAGACAGAGTCTCACTCTGTCGCCAGGCTGGAGTGCAGTGGCGTGACCTCGGCTCACTGCAACCTCTGCCTCCCAGTCCCGAGTACCTGGGACTACAGGCGCCCACCACCACAACTGGCTAATTTTTTTTTCTTTTTTTTTTTTTAGTAGAGACGGGGTTTTGCCATGTTGGCCAGGCTGGTTTTGAATTCCTGACCTCAGGTGATCCGCCCGCCTTGGCCTCCAAAGTGTTGGGATTACAGGCGTGAGCCACCGCGTCCAGTCAGGCACAGTGGGTTTAGGTTGTGTGTAGTGAAGGGGAGAGTAAAAGACACAGAAGGACTGGTCATATTTGGCTCTCATTGTATGCGGGATTCGATTTCAAATCAGAGCATGAGGTCAAATCACATATAGTTAAAATTATCTACTCTTTTTTTTTTTTTTTTTTTTTTGAGACGTGGTGTTGCTCTGTCACCCAGGCTGGAGTGGAGTGTGATCTTGGTTCACTGCAACCTCTGCCTTTTGGGGTTCAAGCAATTCTCCTGCCTCAGCCTCTTGAATAACTGGGATTACAGGCGTGCACCACCACGTTCAGCTAATTTTTGTAGTTTTAGTAGAGTTTTGCCATGTTGGCCAGGCTGGTCTCGAACTCCTGGCCTCAAGCGATCTGCCCACCTCGGCCTCCCAAAGTGTTGGGAATACAGGCATGAGCCACTGTGCCTGGCTACAATTATCTACTCTTAAAAGTCCCCATGCTTGCCCACAGTGCATCTCTCAGAAAGTCTAGTAGATTCATTTCATCCTCCAGTGTGAGAACAGATTACCTCTTCTTCAGCTGGGCACCAGAGGAAATACTGATCTTAGGTTTTTGGAGCCACGCTGAATTAAAACCTTAGCATCACACGGTGAAACTGAACCCGCTGAGGGAATGGTAGATTCACAGTTTCTATCATTCTTTTTTTTCTTTTTAATATATTTCTTTATCCTTATTGAAGAGCTTCCATCGCCCTTCACTCTCATCTTGTGCTCACTTTGGGTCTTGTGCTGAATTCAGCTCCCATTCTTTAACAGAAATTTACATATCGCCTGTGTGCCAGATGCTATGCTAGGCTCAGATCAAGAACCCTTGCATTTTCAGATCTTACATTCTAGCCAAGAGGCAGATAATAAACAGATAAGCAAAACGTAATTGCTAGCCAGTAGTACTATGAAGACAGAGCAAGGCACAGACTAGGAAGTTCTGGAGTGGCTTGGGAAGGCCTTCTGGGAAATAGGATTTCATTTTCATAAACTCTGCAGGAGAGGAAGTCAACTCTGTGGATATGGGGATGGGGGAGGGGGCCCAAGCCAGCAGCGAGAACAGCCGGTGCAAAAGCCCTGAGGCAGGCAAGAGGGTGCCTGCATGTTTGAGTCCAGCGAGTGGACGGAAGGTAGGGAGGACGCCAGGGGGTGAGGTTGGAGGGCCTGTAGGCCATTGTGTTGACCTTTACCTGTGCTTTGGGTGAGATAGGAGAGCATTGGAGAGTTTTGAGCTGAGGAGGGACAAAATCTGTTTACCAAGATCACTCTGGTTTCTGTGTTGAGAAAAACCTGAAGAGGGACAAACGAGCTATAATATTTAGGGGACTGTTGTAGTGGCTCTGGTGAAAGATGGGTGAGAACTAATTAATTCTGGATATTTAGAAGTTAGAGCCACCATTGCATTTACTGTCAAATTAGATGTGGGGTATCAAACAAGATGAGTTCAAGAGAAGCTCCAAGGTCTTTAGCTTGAATCAAGGTATGGATGGACTCACTTTTAGTTGAGGTGAGGAAGCCTCAAAGCCTCACGTGGGAAGAACTACAGTGGTGGCAGTGGTAGAGATGGGGGTGGGAGAGGCCAGGGTCTCAGTTTAGGACAGGTTAGTTTGAGATCCTACCAGATACCAGGCAGAGAGATGGGGTAGGTAGGTGAATATATGTAAATCTGGAGCTCAGGTAGGAGTTCAGGCTGGAGAGCTACGTTTGGGGGTGATCAGTGTATAGGTAGCGTTTCTTTCTCTCTCTCTCTCTCTTTCTCTTTCTTTCCTTTTCTTTCTTTTCTTTTTCTTCTTTCCTTCCTTTCTCTTTCTTTCTCCGTTTCTCTTTTCCTTTCTCTTCTCTTTCTTTTCTTTCTTCTGATGGAGTCTCAGTCGCCCAGGCTGGAGTGCAGTGGTGCGATCTCAGCTCACTGCAACCTCCGCCTCCTGGGTTCCAGCGATTCTCCTGCCTCAGCCTCCTGAGCAGCTGGGACTACAGGCGCTCGCCACCACACCCAGCTAATTTTTGTGTTTTTAGTAGAGACGGGATTTCACCTTGTTGGCCAGGCTGGTCTCGAACTCCTGACCTCGTGATCTGCCTGCCTCGGCCTCCCAAAGTGTTGGGATTACAGGCATGAGCCACTGCACCCACCCGGAGGCATTTCAAACCATGAGATGGGGTGAAACCTTCCAGGGAGTGAGAGAAAAGGTCTAAGGACTGAGCCCCTGGGTTCCCCATCATTAGGAGGTCAGATGAGAAGGAGCCAGCCATGAAGACTGGGAAGGAGTGGCTGTTGTGGGGAGGTGGGTGGTGTCCTAGACACAGGTATCTTTTTAAGGCAGAGGGGCCCGGAAAAGGATCCTTGTAGTTTGAGTAGTTATGCCTCTCTCTGAGCATGGGCAGTTCGTTGGTGAACTGACAACGTGAAATACACATGATGCAATTCCACCGTGTGTCAAGTTTGAAAGCACTCCCTGCCAGTAGCGTGTGGGAGTGTAGGAATGGCAATTGTAATGAGACATCACAGTGTAAAATTCCTGAGCTCTGCTCTAGTACAGCCTGGGGACAGACGTCTGGGCCAAGAAGGGCTTCTGTGAGACAGCATGGAACAGTGGCCTGGTCAGAGAGACTTGGGCATGCATCTGAGGGCTGTAAGCCTCAGTTTCCCCATCTGTAAAATGGAACTCTAATCGCTGTCTCCATCTGGGAGGATTTTGTGAGGATTCAGAGAAACTGCACATGAAATGCTCCACCAGGCCCAGGAACTTACCAAGGTCTCATAAACGTGAATGATTCTATAACTGTCAAGCCTCTGCCAGGGGTTCTGAATGCTCGAGTGCAGACCAGAGCCCATGGGGACGCCCCTGTGCAGATCTGCTCAACCATTTCTTTCTTTCTTTTTTGAGACAGAATTTCACTCTATAGCCCAGGCTGGAGTGCAGTGGTACGATCTTGGCTTACTGCAACCTCTGCCTCCCAGCCGGGTTCAAGCAATTCTCCTGCCTTAGCCTCCCAAGTAGCTGGGACCACAGGTGCTTGCCACCACGCCCAGCTAATTTTGTCTTTTTAGTAGAGATGGGGTTTCACCATGTTGACTAGGCTAGTCTCAAACTCCTGGCCTCAAGTGATCCACCCACCTCGGCCTCCCAAAATGCTGGGATTACAGGCCTGAGCCACCGCGCCCAGCTATTCACCCATTTCTTACTCCCCCACTCAAGAAGTCACACCACTCTTGTCATTCCAAGAAATCTTAATTTCTTTATTGTTTGACTTTTTGACTCAACAATTTTTTTAAAACTTTTTGTTTTTTTCTGAAACGTTCTTGTTGTTATGAGCCTTTTGTTTTGTTCTCGTTAAATGCACTCGACCCAAAATTGGTTTGGCATATCGAAAAGGAGACCAAGGAGGGAGGGGCTGGGGCGTGGGAGGTGGGGAGGAGGCCCGAATGGACAGAAAGTTGAGGATAAGAGAAGAGGAACATAGAGACAGCCAGAAAGACATGGGGAAAGAGTGTTGGAGACAGAGAAAGGGGAAGGCAAGGGAAAGCCAAAAGAAACCAAAATCCAGAGAAAAAGAATTAACAAGATTTAGGAGCAAACGAGTTCAGGAGCCTAAGGAAGGGAGTAGGAGAGGAAACCAAGACCCTTCTCTGTACCGTCCCAGCTGGGGTGGGGGCGTCAAGGCACCAGGTCTGGTTAGGTTGGGGGGACACCTGGGCTCTGGGGGCGGCTTTGCACTGGACTGCAGTGATGTCCAGCCCCAGCAGGGGGCCCTGCCACACAGCTCTGAGGCCTGGAAGCCACCCGGCGATGCCGGCTGGAACAGGACCCGATACACCCTCTCTCCCTTTGATTGTCCGAGTCTGGAGAGATACAAGGAAGGCTGGGCAGGGAGGAAGTTGGCCTCTCTGTGTGCCTCAGCCCCCTGGAACTCTCCTGGCCCTCCTCCTGGTGTCGGGGGCAGCCACAGGCTGGGCTGCTTCCCGGGACAGGCCAGCTCCTCGCCTGCTCATGCCTCCTGCCCGCTCTTCACAGACCTCTGACCACCCCTCCACACAACAGAGCTCCCAGCCTAGTGCAGTCCGGGAAGGGCCATGGAACTGTCCCTTGCCCTCCTCAGAGTCGTCTGGCAAGACTGTCCCTGGCCTCACTTCTCCTCCCCATCTAGACTTCACCCATGGTCTTCTGGTGTAATGGGTTAGGCCTTTCTACCAGAAAAAGCCAGAGTTGGAACCCAACCCCACCTCTTCCCCACACCTGTTCCCTTACACGGGACAAACCACCATCTTTGGTCTGACCCCTTCTCCCCTAATTGATGGGGACAAGCCAGCCCCAGCTCCCCGGGAGAAGGGAGGGGCTTTCTAGCAGCAAAAAGGGTCCCTCCAGCCACCTACCTGTCCCCTTCCCCCCAGTTCCTTCCTAGAGCCCCTCCCCCTTAACCCAACAAAGTTCATGGCAGCAGCAGGCTGAGACCCGAAGATGTTTGAAAACTCATGGCACTTGTGAGAAAAGGAGGGGCAGAGAGATGGGGAGAGGTCAGAGCAGAGGTGGAGGGGCCACCTCTGGGGAAACGGCAATGCAGGGGCTGGGCTAGGGTGGCCTGGGGCTATGCTGCCCCTAGAGTTGAGGGAAGGGGGCTGGGGAGGCTGGCCTGACAGGCTGGAGAGGAGGGGGCCGGGACAGGTGCTCAGGACACATCCCGAGCCTGGAGCTTCCGGGGTCTGGGATTTGGGGTCAAGCCGCCCAGAACATGGGTGTCCCGACCCCAGCCCTGGCACCTGGCTTCGTCTTCCCTGCGGGAAGGTGGAGGATAGGGAAGGTGATCTCTCACCTTTGCCCCTCCCCATCCCCCAGACCGCCTTGCCGTTCCCAGCACCCTCCTCAGCCATACCCATGCCCTCCACAACCCCAGTGCCTCCCCATTTTCCTTCTGCCATCAACCTCTCTAGGTGGGAAATCAGCCCCATCTTCCCCGGCGAGAGTCCCCAGAGCAATATACAAGAAGCAGGAACTCAAAGGGACAGCGCAGCCATCTTGACAAAGCATCTTTGGGTGTGAAGAGGTCTCCCCCGGGCCGGTGGGGAGGGAAGGGGGAGACAGGCCTCTGGTCCTGGGGCAGGCAGTGAGAGGTACACGCCCCAGAAGGGCTGATGATGCCGGGCAGGCGGAGCAGGAAAGGAGGGTGCCAGGAAGGAAATGGGTTCTTTGTTTCGCTGTTGCATCTAGATTTTGTTTTCTGTCTCTGGATTGTAAAAAGCTGCTCTGGCGGCCCGCCCGCCCCGGCGGGGACTGGGGATGCACGTACACGGAGAAGTCCTGGCTGCCAGGCCAGCAGCGCTGCTCTGCTCCGGAGAAAGCCCGGGCTGGCCCGGGCCGCAGGCTCCCGGTGGCTTCAAGTGATGAGATTTTTTTTCTTTTCTTTTTTTTTTTTTTTGTCTTTTTTTTTTCTTTTCCATTTCGTTGAAATATTTACAGCAATGGGGAAGGAGGAGGAGAGAGGAAGGAGTAAGAGGGCCCCCTAGGGAAAGATCCAAGCCCAGGACCCACTCCCCAGGGAGATCCAGACCCAAAATCTGCTCCCCAGATAGCCGAGCCCACAGGACTGGGAACTGCCCAAATATGGCCACCCCTGTGGGCTGGGGGCCCTGCGGGGAGTTGTGCTTCATCAGGAGTCGCCCCAAGGGAGGGGGTCATTGGGTGCACTGGGAGGCAGAGGGGGCAGGTTTGCTTGCGGGGCAGGGACCAAGAGCAAGGGGAAAGGAGCTTCAGAGAAAGTTCAACCTTTAAACCACCAGCCACCACCGCCCAGTCCCCCTGCCCTGCGGCCTTTTCCCAGTCTCCAGGGAGCAGGGAATTACAGCGCAGGAGGAACCTGTCCATCTGTCCTGCCTCACTGCTCCCTCTGGGTGCAGCCGGCAGCATTTCTGGCTGCGGAGAGGAGCAGCTAACAGGTTCCATCCAGTGGGGGCCTTTGGCAACCTCAGAAGCTGCCCCTCCCTGCCCAGGAAACTAAAGCCCTCATTTCCCTTCACAGGGTAGAAGGGTGGGAGAGGGGAGAGTCTGGAAGTGGGCTGCACCCTTCCAAGTTCTCCCTCCTCACTCCCCTGGGGTCCTCTGGGCTCCTCCTCACTACACTTCCCCCAAATAGAGCTGGTGCGTGTGGCTGGTGGGAAACCCTGTCTGTGAACCCTGGCACCTCAGGCCCCCAGGTTAGAGTCCCCTGAGGGGACTGTAGGGCCCATGGCTGAGGGGCACCTGGAGAGAGTGGCCCACCAGCCACTGCCTCCATCTGTCTCCCTCTCCCACCAGAGCCCTGCCCAGGGTTCCCTCCCTGGCCTGGGCCACCAGCCCCTGGTCCATGAGGTGCCCTCAGAGACTGGTGACCAGCTGCATCTGCCCGTCCCCATCGGGCCCTGGCCCCTCAAGGCCTGGGGCTGCCAGGTAGCCCTCGTGGCTAGGACGCCGCACCTGGTAGTAGCCCTGCAGGGGATTCCGGGCCACCAGGGCTGGCGGGCGCGAGGTGTAGTAGATTTCGGGGGGGCCGGGGGGTGCGGGAGGGGGTGGGGGCAGGGCCTCACTGGGCCCCTCAGGGCTGCTGTCCGGGTAGGAGGGTGAGTCCCGCAGGTTGGCCCCGCTGGCATAGAGGGAGTCCCGGCCAGGAGGGGAGGAGAGGGGCCGGCTGGTGGCGCCGTCCTCGGCCGTGCAGCTCTCCGACTCGTCCAGATCGCTCTGGTACAGCACCGACTGGGCCCGGGGCAGCAGCAGAGGCTCCTCCAGGGCCTTATAGAGAAGTTCAATCTCGGCCCGGTCAGCACCCCCGGGCCCGCCCGCCTCTTCCTCGCCCCCGCCCCCTGGCACAGGTGGCACAGGGGGCTCAGGCGGTGGAGGGCCCTTGGCCGCGCTGCTGCTCCCCCGCAGGTTGTTGTGCACCAGCTCTGAGATGATCATCTTCTCAAAGGCCGCCGCATCGGCTAGGTTCCGGCCTCGGGGCGGCTCAGGGCCCCCATCCCCGGGAGGGAAATCCCCACTTCGCAAGGAGTAACTGTTATTGAAGTTGCCGTTCAGGGGCAGGGTGTCCATGCCACAGGCTTCCCGGCCTCCCAAGGGGTGCTCTGCAGGGCAGAAAGGGGCTGGTCAGGTTGAAGAGGGGCCCTGGATGCACTAGGGGACAGTGAGGGGGTGCGGTCCATGTGGAGAAGTGGGCTTGATTCCTGCTGGTTTTCCGTAGGCTTCCCCCTGCCCCCTGGATCTCTGATCTCACATTCCCTTTCTCCCTCACTGGCACTAGACACACCAGCCCAGCAGCGTATTGATGAAAGGTGGGGGACAAGGACCAGTTCCCCCAGGATCTCATCCCCAGCTGGAGGTTCAGAATCTCAGCAGTGTGAGGAGGCCTGGGCAACAGGATCGCTTTCCTGTGCTCAGACCCTCAGCACTTAACAGCCCAAACTCAATGAACACCATCCATTATCCTCCATTCGGCTGCCAGAGGCTGTGTGTCGGGGGGTGGGGAAATGTGGGCATGGGGAGGCATCCCGAGTTCTCCTCCTTAAGTGAGGCCGTCTGAGAAGGCCACTGTCTGTCCCTCTCCCAGCCTCAGAAACATCCCCAGGGAAGAGTCACACTTACTGGGTTCCCGGTAGCTCCCTGCAGGTGGCAGCCAGAAGAGAGAAGAGAAAAGGCAAGGATGAGCTCGAAATGCAAGTCCAGGCTCCAGTTCTGGGGCACAGAACATCCCATGCAGAGGTCCCTTGGGACACAAACCCTCCATTTCCCAACCTGGGATGTTTCCCCCGTGCTCTCACCTGGGGAGTTGAAGACAGGGGGCGAGGAGGGATTGAAGCCCACTGACTCGGCGATGAGGGTGTTGTAGGGACTGGTGCCCCCACGGGGCTGCAGCACGGGGTTGGTCAGCAGGTGGTTCCCCATGGTACCTGGCCAAAGGATCAGAGGTCACAAGGCAGCCGGGAGCCTCCAGAGACTGAAGCCAGAGGCAGAAGGATGCCTTCTCACCTCGGTTCAGGGTGGGGGTGCTGTTGATGTCACCCGCCATGAAGGAGGACTCCGTCTGTTTCCTCACAGTGTCATTCCACATCCTCCGAATTCGGCTCTGGGAACACAACCCAAATGTGAGGGGATCCTTGGGCCACCCACCCTCTGGCGTCTTTCTGAGACTGCTCACCTGATCATCACGATCAGAAACCTAGGCCAAGCCACTCCCCACCTCTCAGGCTCCAGGTTCCAACACTCAGCCCCAGGGAGTCCTGTCTGGCCCGATACCTGGGTCCCTGTGTAGTAGCGGGTGTTGCTTCGCATGGCTGAGGTCTTGAGGGATCCGTGAGTGCCCCCGGGTGGGGAGCGGATGCAGCAGTAGGAGTGACGCAGGCACTTGCTGTACTCCTTGTGCACCTGGGAGGTGGAGGACAGTCAGCTGGCTGGGACACTGGCCTCCTCTGTGATCCAGTCTCCCACAGGGCTGGTCACAAGACAGGCAGCCTTGGGAGGCCGGAGACCGAGCTTCCAATGACTGTGTTCCCCTGTTCAGCGACTTGCAGGCCACGGAAGCCTTGATGTCCCCTGTCCCCCAACAGCCAGCCGATCAGGTTTCACTCTCTTCTTACTCAGGCCCATCCTCTTCTCCACCTCCTCTGACAGTTTTTCATTCATTCATAAAATCAACAGAGCATTATTGAGCATCCGCTATGTGCCAGGCACAATTTAGGCCTCAGGGAAGGTATGGAACACAACAGACACAAATCCCTACCTCTGAGAGCTTATATTTCAGTAGACAGAGACAGAACATAGATGAAAATATAAATATGCAAGCTGTTGGATGCTGTTAGGTGCTGCGGAGAAAACTATGGCCAGAAAGGGGGTTAGGCAGTGCTGACTTGGGAGCAGGTTGTGATTTTTTTTTTTTTTTTTTTTTTGAGATGGAATCTTGCACTGTCACTCGGGCTGGAGTGCAATGGTGCAATCTTGGCTCACTGCAACCTCCACCTCCCTGGTTCACACGATTCTCCTGCCACAGCCTCCTGAGTAGCTGGGATTACAGGCGCACACCACCACACCTGGCTAATTTTTTTTTTTTTTTTTGTATTTTTAGTAGAGACGGGGTTTCACCATGTTGGCCAGACTGGTTGTGATTTTAAATAGATCAGAGGAGGCCAGGCATGGTGGCTCACACCTGTAATCCCAGCACTTTGGAAGGCAGAGGTGGGTGGATCACCTGAGGTCAGGAGTTCGAGACCAGCCTGGGCAACATGGTGAAACCCCACCTCTACTAAAAATACAAAAATTAGCTGGTCGTGGCAGTGGGCGTCTGTAATCCCAGCTAGTTGGCAGGAGAATTGCTTGAAGCTGGGGGGGTGGAGGTTGCAGTGAGCCGAGATCGCGCCATTGCACTCTAGCCTGGGGACAGAACGAGACTCTGTCTCAAAAATAATAATGATAATAAAAAAAAAACCTAAAAAAATAAATAGATCAGAGGAGGCCTCATTTAAGCCAAGGTAAGAACGGGGGCTGCACCCTGAGGGTCCACATCTAGGTGTCTGAGAGCAGAGGTTGGAGGGAGGGGAGCCGAGGGGCCCAGATCAGACCATAGGGGCCTGGGGTCCCCTGAAAGGACATTGCTGCCACTGCGTGTGAGGTGGGGGCTGTGAAAACACTGCCTTTGACCGTGTGTCCAAGGAGGGGCCAGGACAATGTTGGACAGAGCAGGGACACAGGCCACCTCCTCCCTTGCAACCAGGATTCTCATGATCACTGCCTCTGCCATCCCCTGCCTTAAGCCTTACCTGCCTCACCACTCCCCAAGTCCAACAGCAGTCTCCATGGCCTGCACTGCTGCCAGGACTGACTCTACAAATGCCTCAGCTCCGTCTCCCCAGCTTCAGTCCTGAGGGTGCTGCCAGTATCCCCATTCCCTGCCCATGTTCCCCAGCTACTGTTGTCCCCTTTGGTTTTTTTAAATAGAGACGGGGTCTCTGTTGCCCAGGCTGGTCTTGAATTTCTGGGCTTAAGCAATCCTCCTGCCTCAGCCTCCCAAAGTGCTGGGATTACAGGCATGAGCCACTGCACCCAGCCCTTTGTATGTGTGGTTTTTTTGTTTGTTTGTTTTGGAGACAGAGTTTTGCTCTGTTGCCCAGACTGGAGTGCAGTGGCGCAATCTTGGCTCACTGCAACCTCTGCCTTTGGGGTTCAAGCAATTCTCCTGCCTCAGCCCCTCAGCCTCCCAAGTAGCTGGGACTACAGGCGCCCACCACCACACCAGGCTAATTTTTATATTTTTTAAGTAGAGACGGGGTTTCACCATGTTGGCCAGGCTGGTCTGGAACTCCTGACCTCAGGTGATCCGCCCGCCTCAGCCTCCTAAAGTGCTGGGATTACAGGCGTGAGCCACCGTGTCCGGACTGTATGTTTTTTTAAGATTCAGATTTTAACACATTTATTTTAAAAAGATCCTTTCTATCACCACAAAATTCACAATTCTTTCCAGAACTATGAATGTAGGCAGTGCTCCCTCAGGGTGGCTCCCAAAGTCCTCCCTCTCCCAGGCCTGACTCGTGGCCCTCATGGTGGTGAGGGTTCCCCATTACCAAATCTGTTCTGCTCTCACTCCTCTAAGTTGCTGTATCTTGTTTTCCAGAACCCTCTTCACCCGTGGTTAAACCCTCCCTAACCCTGAGCTCGTGCTCCCCTCCCGGTGGACGCAGACCTGACCACAGAAGCCCTGCAGCACTCACTGGGGGCTTGAGGGAGCCCCTGAGTCCCCTCCACCCTCGCCGCCTTCTCCTGGGTACCCAGGAAACGTCTCCAAGGGAGGCTGTGACCCAGGACCCCGCCTCGACCTCACCTTCTTCTGTAAGGCGCAGTGAAAGACGAAGATGAAGACCCCCTGGAAGGCGTTGAAGGTGGTGAAGAGATAGGCCATGACCACCGACTCCTTGTTGATGAAGAGGAGGCCGAAAGCCCAGGTGAGGCCCAGCAGGAACAGCAGCGCGATGGCCCCCAGCGCCCAGGATCTGGGAGTGGGGCGACAGGGGAGTCAAAGTACCCGCCGGAGGGGACGGCCTCAGCCCAGGCCTCCCCTGCAGCCTACAACGGGGGCCCTTGGGTGGGCCTGGGCACTGTCTGCAAAGCCCTGAGCGGGCCGAGTGGGCCTTGGGGGCAGTGGCCTGCCCAGGACACCTCCACCGGAGCCTGGGCCTGAGGGAAAGGTACTGGGTCAGGGGTCGGGGTATTGTGAACATCAGTTATTCCTCTGCCAACTTCATTGTTTCTGCTAAATTTCCAGACCACTTAGGCTATATTTGCTGCCTATTTCTCTTTAAGTTGCCCTTAAACAGACTCACCTTTTGAATTTAGCCTCAGCCTACATACCGATGCCCCTAAAACCACAGGTTGGACGTGCTAATGATACGCTATCTAAGACCCATTAAGTAGGTACATAGTGAACACAATAGAACACCCCTGTTGGTACTTAAAATTGCAATGTGTGTCACCAGAGGTGACAGCACTACCTTTTAGGACACCCTGGAAGAGGTGGGCCCAGCGTGGGGCGGGGGTGGGTGATGGGGCAGGGGGCAGGCAGGGGCGAGGCTCACTTAATGTTGTCCAGGCGGCTGGAGTCGGGCTTGAGCACAGATGAGCTTCGGATCATCTTGTGCAGGGTCACCATGAGGAACACCAGGTTGACCTGGGGGCGGGACAAGGGGCAGGCTGGGCTGAGAGTGGCCCTGCCTCCCTCAGTGAGCACTGAGGCTAGGGCCCAGCCTGGCGAAATCTCAGCTGTGGCCCTCGCCTCTGCTGGGAGAACCCCGTACCTGCCCCTGAGGTGCCCGCTGTGCAGCGGTGAGCTGATTGGCATGACCGGCAATTTAATGCCACTCCTGGCTGCTGGGAGGACAAGGCCCATGGCCTGACACACACTAGGGGCTCAAATCACAGCCCCCCAGGCGAGCAGCCCTCAGCACTGGAGCTCCATGGACCCAGCACACTTTCATCCTCTCAGCCGGTGGCTCAGTTCCGATGTGTGGAGAGAGAGAGAGTGTGTGTGTGTGTGGGGGGGGTGGGGGGCGGGGGCAGGGGCTGGGGTCAAGGCCAGCCTGGATGAAGGAAGATGTGGTGCTAGGGGTGTCACCTCCCAACTCACCACGATAACGAAGGAGACTGGCCCGATGAAACTCCAGATGAAGTAATTGTCCACTCGGAGCCAGCAGCTGTAAAGGAAACAGGGCCGGGGTATAGAGAGAAGCCGAGGAGCCATTCCCAGCGACTCATGAAGGCCTAGGACTCTGCAGGCTGCAGCCTCTGGGATCAGGAGGAGGAAGGGACTACCGCCCTGAGGGTCCTGGTCCAAGGGGTGCCGCCCAGCAGGGAACCAGGTGGGAGGGTGCAGGGCTGGGAGGTGGAAACTCACGCCTTCTCGGTGCCGTAGCTGCGGTAGTCAATGGCAGCCGCGATGCCCACCACCAGGGCCGGGAAGCAGTAGCCACCCAGGTAGTAGTACTTGGTGCGGGAATACTCGCTCTCAAACACCTCCACTAGTAGCAGGTAGAGGTGCACGCCCTCCAGGCACAGCCAGGAGAAGGCAGCCAGGAAGAAATAGTGCAGCAGGCCGGCGAAGATGGGGCAGGCAATCTGCGGGGAGCACTGAGGGTGAGGGGCTGCTGCCTGGACAGGTGTCCCCCTTCTTCTCCCGGCCCCCAGGCGCTGGCCGTCACCTGCCCTAGAGTCCCAGCCCACCTCATACTGAGTCTTGTCGATCCCGACCAGGAAGAGCAGCTCAGCCAGGAAGAGGTTGATGCACAGGTTCTTGTGGATGGTGTTGCGGTCGGTCTGCAGCCCCCGCAGGAAGCAGAAGGTGGAGATGCAGATGGCCAAGCAGACCAGGGAGATCACAATGCCCACCCAGGTGATGACCGACAGCAGCAGCTCGTTGATGCGGCCCTGGTACTGGGGACAGGAACAGGGGGCACGCTCAGGGCCTTTGGTTTTGCACGCTGGGCTCAGCCAGGTGCCAGCCACAGACAGGGCCCTGGGCAAGGCCATGGGCCGTGAGGACCTCTGGTGCCGCCAACCTGGCAGCCCTCACCCCTCTGCACGCAGCAATGCGCTCACTTCCTCATGCTCTGGAAGGCTTGTGGAGAGATGACCAACGTAACACCAACTTGCTTCTCCAGAGTGCCTTGGGAGACGGTGGGATCATGGCCATAGAGGACCAGACGCATGGCCTCATGCCCCAGGCAAGACCAGGGGCCCCCCACACCCATGGGGCTAGCCTCCCCTGGTACTGCCCGTGATCTCTCTAGGATGCCATGCAAAGCCAGGCCAGCAATCGGGCCTGCCTGGAGGAGCAGAGCACCAGCCAGCTTACGATCTCACGGTGAGCCATGAGCACAGCGAAGTTGGTGAGGTGGCTGCAGGCACACGTGGTATGGGTCTTGTTGGACTCCACCAGGCGGCAGCCTTGGGTCGACCAGTAGCCCAGCATGGAACGCTCCGAGTAGTTCCAGAAGGAGCAGTTAGCATTGAAGTGGTTCTTGTCCTGTTGTGTGGTGGCACCAGGGTGTCATAACTAGAGTCAGAACCGGGGAGTCCCATTCCGACCCCCCACACCTGGCAACAGGGATGGTACCAAGTATCAAAGAAGTGCCTGGGGTCTGGGGCTCCAGTTGACATTCTGAGAGCTCTGGGGACAAATGGCCCAAGCTCTAAAGTGGAAGAACCCATAACTTGTTCTGGAGGTGAGCACATGGAGGGGCAGGTACACAGCCTGGGAACACAGAGGGTACAGGGACCCCCATGGAGGGAGGGGGACGGCTCAGCTCACCTCCAGGTGGGCCACGGTGAAGATGACAGGGTCCATGAGGAAGACGCGGCTGGACTCCTTGTTGATGGATGCTGCGATGACCTGTGAGTTCACCACTAGAGAGGCGCCCCCAGGGCCACCCGGGCCTGCTTCGCCGGCCAGCTTCACTGTGGCATTCTCCGTGGACAGGAAGAGGCCCAGGTTGTTGTAGAGGATGAAGACAACTTTGACCACCCCTGGTGAGAACAGGCACGTTTGGATGTGTCAGCATCCTCAGCTGGCGCACCTCCATCCAGGCCCCTGGCTTCCCAGCTCAGCCAGCTCCTCAGCCCTTGGCCACGCTGGCCACTGGGACCTCTGAAGCCAGTCCATAGCCCAGGCAGGTGGGGGTCAGGGAGCCCTGTCCACAAGACCACTGCTCAGCTGAAGGCAGTTCTAAACAGCAGGGCAGTGTGCCAGGACACACAAGCTGGGCCTCCGACCCACCCATTCTCACTGTGTGACCTTGGGCAAGCCCCTGACCTCTCTGAGCCTTCATCTCAATGGCCCCATCCTCTCTGAGCTGTGAGGCCCAGGAGCCAGCTTTGCAACTGTAAGGCTCACCCTTAGGGCTCTGCAGCACTTCAGGGCCCATGAATCCCCTCAAATTTTACACTAGCATGAGAAAAGGTCAGCACCGCTGCCCTCTACAAATGGCACAGAGACGCTGGCACAGAGCTGGGGGGTGGGGGTGGGGCTGCTTCCCCACCCGAGGCCCCGCCGGGGACACTGACCATTGCGGCTGTTCTGCTTGATGGTTTTGGCAGACAGCTGGATGGAGTTCTTTCTCGGGTACTCCTCCTGGGGGAACACCAGCTCCTGCACCTGGCCCTCTGTGTTCAGGACTGTGACCTCCAGGACTGTGGGGACAGGGGAAGGCAAGGCATACACAGTTGGGGTCTGTTCCCAGTCCAGGGGCTCAGGCTGCAGAACGAGACTCTGGCAAGATGCCCAAGGGTCGGATAGCCCCCCTGTGGCCTCCAGGCCAGAACCCCGTGGTTTAAGGTTCGTATCTGAGTTTGCCCTGGGTGACTGTGGCACTCACCCACGTTCTCCTTGGCAGCCAGGAAGCGGGCAGGCTCCCTGACATTGTCGGCCAGCAGGAAGGCGCCCTCCTCCAGGACGTCGAGGAGCATGGTGGCCGTGTGCACCTGCTCCGTGGCATTCATGTCCTTCCAGGACTCCAGAGCTTCTGGCCGGAGCAGATTGTCCACTGTCTCCACCACGGCCTGCACAGGCAGAGGGCATGGTGCTGTGAGCCCCCCAACACCCTCTAATTCCTGGGGGTGGGCTCTGCATGCCCTCTTCTCAACCTCCACCCCTAATCCCCCCATCAGCTGGAGCCCACGGTCCTTACACTGGGACCCCCTGGGTCTCACCTTGATATAATCCTTACAAGTTCTCTCTCGCTTGTGCATCTAGAAAGAGATGGAGGTGATGTCAGGCCAGGCCTCTGGGTGCCGGTTCCCTCACCCTAATACTGTCACATCTGGATAGCTCTCTCGTCTGCGGTTACCACTGACCCAGGGCTGGGCTATCAGCAAGACATTCCTCAGGGATCCCCAACCCCCAGGACCATCCGGGGCAGCACAGGAGTGAGACCCGGCAGTCCTTGGCGGAGAGGGGGGGGTCCTTCCTCTCTGAGGAAAGGAGTGGAGGTGGCAGCCTGGCTGGGAGGTACCAGGTCAGGTACTTCCCAAGCCCCTGGGGGCAGGCGCCCTCCCCATACCAGGTCAGCGCCACCGCCAGGCCCCACCTTGTTGTAGTTCTTGCCGGCTGACTCGCGCTCGATGGGCCGCAGGGCCTGCAGCTGGGCATCCAGGATGTCCAGCAGCTGCTCCATCAGCTTCACAGAGGAGGAGACGTCCCCCGCGTAGATGGAGCCCCGGGTGTGTCGGGCCAGCTCGCTGGCGATGTTGGCCGCGTTCTCCCCACTCTTGATCTGCATGAGGTGGGGGCGGGAAGGGGGAATCCCAGGACTGTCAGGGACCATCCTGCCCTCCCCGGCTTCCCTGGCCTGTGCAGCCTCTCCTATCTCTCTCTCCACTTCCCCATCGCCATCTGCCCCTTCCCACCCCATCTGTCCCTGCTCCCTTTGTAGGCCAGGGAGGTGACCCCACAGTCCTGCCTTCCAGACCTGCCAGCCCATGTCTCCCCAGCTGCTCCACGACCCCCGCTGGGCCCTGGGCCCTGGGCCCGAGCACATGTGCCTGCCTGCGAGGGGTGGTGGCTGGTACCTTCTGGGCCACCTGGTTGACCCAGGGGGAGGTGCAGTTGCTGAGGTCAGGGCCCCGGGGGTTCCAGAGCCCCAAGGCTGGTAGACACTGGAAGGAGGCAATTCCTGCAGGGACAGACAGACAGGAACAGACAAGGGAGCCAAAGGGAAGAAGAGAAGGATGGGACAGAGAGGGGGAAAGGAGATGACAGAGAGTGGGGGACGAGCGGGCGAAGAGGGAGGTGAGGGAAACACGGAGAAACAGACATGAAGCGGGCTGGACAGTCGAAAGAGGCGCCACTCACTTCCCCTGAGCTCTCCCTCCTGCCCCCTTCTGTCTTTGCCTCCAGAGTTAGAACCTTCCAGCAAGGCCCATCTTGAACGCCCCCTCTCCACGAAGCACCTGCCAACCCTCCCCTCAGATCTCCAGGACACACGGCCCTGCCCTTTTTGCACTTCAGCTGGCCATCCATGTGAAGCTGACTGTGCCTGGGGCTGTGGCAGGTCAGCCTGAGGCCGGGAGCCAGGTCACCTCCTGCGGACTCCCTGCAGGTTCTGCAGGTGGGGCCAGGGGCACTGAGTGGCTCCTGTGCCCTGAGAGCTCTGCTGGTCACTGGGGATGACCCCTGCCCTCAGAAAACCTCTGCTCCGCAGTAGAGACCCCCACCCACACATGCATCTGTGCTAAGCTGCTGGGGGCATGGCCCCCATCCCTCCCCTGGCTGCAGCCTCTGTACTCACCTCGAGTCCCCTTGGGGCAGGGCCTCTCCACCAGCATGCCCTGCTGGGTGGCCGGCCACTGGACCCGCCGTACCTCTCGGGGCTCGCAGAAGAGCTCAGGGGACACGTGTAGATTCGGGGCTGGGGGCCGCCGGGTGCTGGGGACTGGGGCTGTGGCTGGAGGCAGATCAGGTCCCAGCTGGTTGATGGCACCCACTGGGTGCGTGGTGAGGGGTGCCCGGCGGAGCGGGGTGGTGGCTGCGGGCGAGGCTGTGCTGGTGAGGGGCGTGGGCCTGGCTGTGGTGGTCGTGCTGAGGGGTGGGGAAGTGGCTGGGCCTGGAGAGGGGATACGAGACAGGGTCATCCCCATGCTCAGGGCCATGCCACAGTGTGCTTGGGCAGGGGGTCCCAGGCCATCTTAGCATCTTCCTCATCTACTGAAGTGGAAACACGTGCCGGGCCCCACTGGGTCTATGAGTTGATCTCCCCTGGCCGCTCTGTGCCCACCAAAGTCCCTTATGCCCATGGGCCCATATAAAGTAGCAAAGAGTGGTAAAAATCCACGATGTGTACCATAAGGTCTGAGAGAACGGTCAGGGGAGAGGCAGGGACAGAGGTGTCTGGGGGACAGGAATCCTCCCAGGTTGAGCCCGAGGGCAGGAGCCCTCCCCAATCCAGGTCAGCCCCGCCACCAGGTGGGGGCTGAATACCACCGCCCCCCATCCTCGTTCTAGCTGACTTTGGCTTATGTAACCTGGCTATGCTCCTTCCTTCTGGGGGCCTCAACTCCCCCTTTTGCAAACAAGATGGGGTTAGATCGGGCTCCCTGGAGCCCTGGGGTGGCACAGAGCTAGCAGGGCAGCTAGGCGGGGCAAAAGAAGACTGCAGAGTTGCCCTCAGCCCGGTCAGCATCAGCAGCTCAGCTCTTTTGTGGATACTGGACTTCCACCCAGGATTTTGGTGGATCCAAGGGTTCCTGGAGTAAAGGTGCCCAGGCCCCTGGGAGAGGCACTGCAGTTCAGTGGTTGGGAGGCTGGGTTCAAATCCTCAAATAACTTAATCCCCTACCCACACAGAGCCTCAGTGTCATCTGTAAAACAGGGCAGTAAGGATCCCTGTGTCATAGACCGTGAGGAGACGAGTTAATGACTGTGAAGTGCTTAGAACAGCGTCTGTCACATGCTGTGAATTTCCTTTACCTCCCGATCCCCAAGAGCTCACAGGATGGGGCTCCCCACTCTGGGACCCAGGGGTGGGTGGGGGTGGAGGGGACAAAGGCAAGCAGGCTCCATGCCTGGAAGTGAGTCGTCCTCACCAGCACTGGGGTCGGGCGGCCCGAACTCCAGGCTGTAGCGCACCACGAAATAGTTGTTCCAGACGTACAGCTGGTTGTCGCGAGGGTTGTAGTCAACGGAGGAGATGAACTGGTAGGGGTTGGGGAAGGTGAGGCTGACAGGCTCCTCGCGGTTGGCATTGGTGTTGAAGGCATAGTCCACGCGGTTGCCAGCCGCCTCGCTGTCATCATCCACGTACACGGAACGCAGGACGTACAGGACCCCACACACCATGAAGGCGTTGGATGCCGAGCGCTTGTCGTAACCCGTCTCCCACGTGCCCTCAAAGCGCAGTGTGTAGGGGTTCAGCTGGCTCACCACCAGCCGCCCGTTGTTGCCCTCAGTGGCGTAGATGACCCACAGCCCGTTCTCGTCCACCGCCAGGTCAATGTCGGTCTTTCCGCCCCAGCGGTAGGGCGAGGTGTCATGGTAGTTGGCGGTATTGATGACCGTCTCCCCGCTCTTGATGCGCGTCCGTAGGTCATACTTGACGATGTTGCGCGTGCGCTCCTTGTTGTAGAAGACGGCACCATCGTAGACCACAAAGCCTGTGCCATCCACGCGGTTGGGCAGGCGGTAGGTGGTGGTGTGGCGGGCGGCCACGTAGTCCTCCCACGAGGCATACTCAGTCAGTGTGTCCGTGCGGTAGGGGATCCAGGGCATCACGTAGATGCGGTCACCCGCCTGCAGCGGGTCCTTGCACCATGCGCCAGACTGGTGCTCTGACTCGTGTGTCGAGGTGGGCTCCAGCACCTTCTGCAGGGTCCCTGGGCACACGAAGACTGGGCAGAGTGGGCGGGAGGGGAGGAGGTAGGAGAGAAGGGGCAGAGGCGAGAGGGAGGAGAGAGAGAGAGAGAGAGAGAGAGAGAGAGAGGGGGGAGAGAGGCAAGTTGGTCACGCTGCTGGTGGGGAGCCAGGTTGTCCCCTCCTGCTGCTGCAGTCACGGTTGCTTGGTATGGCTGGTGATGGGAAGGGGGTTTCCGGGCTGGGACCCGACCCCCTCCCCACGCCCTGCCCAGCTGCCCCTCTCCCTGGAAATGTGAACCCTGAAGGCCATTAAGAGCGGGGTTAGTGAGGGGAAGTGGTGCCCCTCTTCCCTTCCCTGGCTGCTAGAGACCCCACAGGCTGGGGAGGAGTTTGGCAAGAGCCCTCCCAGAGGTGGTCCTGTGTGATTTAAGTGGGGGCAGAATCTCCCCGCTACAGTCACTCCTGACTTTGACGGTCCAGGGACTCAGCACCCGGCCCCTTCTCCCTCTTCTCTGCCACTTAGGGAAGAGCTAGGGTCCAGGATCCCATCCTTCACCAACCACACCCGGACAGTGTTTTTTTTTTTAACTCCTCTTTCTTCCTCCTGCAAAAATTGCAAGGTAGAGTGGTGTTTCCATACCCACTGTGGGTGTCAGGAGTGTCTCCCTATTCCAGGATAGGGGTTTCAACTCTCTCCCCAGGTTCCTGATGCAGCCTGCTCCCCACCCCCCACCCAGTACCCACGAAGTCAGTAGCCGAGGAAGGGATTCCCAGAGGCAGCTCCCAGGCTAGGACGGGGAATGAAAGAGTCTGGCCCCTCCTGGAGGGCGCCCAGCCCTGCCCCCAGCCGGCAGGGTCTCTCATGGGGTCTGGCTCAGCAGCAGACAGTGGCACTGTGCACAGGGGTGGGGGTGGGGACATGGAGAGGGACAGGGCTCCCGGGAGAGTTGGGGAGGGAGAGGAGAGCTGTGCAGAGGGAAGAGAGACAAGGGCGTATGGGGCTTGGCGAGGTCCTGGCTCCGTGGGAGGCTGCGCTGCAAACCACCTGGGAAGAAAGGGTTAGTGCTGGCGGAGGAGAGAGGGGTGAGCAGAGAATTCACTCCAAGGCCCAGGCCCGACTGAGGGTCCCTCAGGGGGGCAGTCCCAGGTCCAGCTCGGAGGGGGCAGGGGAGGGAACCAGGCGCTAGGATAAAGACCCAGCCCGCCCCAGCCAGGCCCCCCACCTCCCCTGGCCCGGACCCCGATTTACCTGCGACCATCCCCGGCTCGGGAAGAGGGACCAAGGCAGCGCTGATGTCAGAAAGGTGGGGGGCCCCGCCCCACCCCCCCAATCCCTGAAAAGGAGGAAAACCTCAACTGCATCTCGTTGGCCACTGCTGGCCGGCCCACCCTTGCCCAGTCACGTCCCAGCACCACCTACTCCTAACCTCCCCTTGACTGATCCGGGGGTCAGTGTGGCCAGACACCCCACCTCCTCCCAGAGTGCGCCCCTCCATCCAGGATGGCCGGGCCTCCCTCACCTCCTGGCTGGCAGAACCCACACATAGGCCAGGGCGAGGGCACAGGGCGAGGGTGGAGGGTTTGCAGTGAATTCTCTGCTCTTGCTTGGCATGTCACCAAAGCAGCTGGCCCCGAGGGGATCGGGGGGCTGGGACCTGGCACCGGCTTGGGGGGCAGCCCCAGTGGCAAGAGGGGCTTGGGCTAGTCCTCATTCCCCACCTCCAGCAGGCTTGGGAGGGAGGGGGACAGGCAGCACTCCCTTCACAGCATGGGAACAATGTGGCTCAGGGGCCCCCTGGCACAAAGCAGCCAGGATGTAGTTTTTGTAGAGGGAGAGGAGCCTGGGACATAGAGCTGGGCAGGAGCCAAAACGACCCTGGCTTGGGCCCTGGGGACTGGCCATCCCCCTGTCCCTGATGCCCTGAGGGGTCGGCCTGCCCACTCTGTCCAGCACACTGGCCTCTGCCCAAGCCGGTCCCCACCCCCACCAGGTGTGTGGCATCTGAGGGGACGTGTTTGTGTGAAGGGGACGGTGGGAGGCCTCAGAGCCTAACCTGCTCAGAGGGTGTCAGGGGGGAAAAATGTGGTTAGAGGTCAACCCAGGGGAAGGGGGAGAAGATGAGGAAGGGTCTGTCTGGGGCCTTGGACAGCAAGGACCCTTCACCAGCACCAAACTCCCAATCCCTCCTCTTCCCTCCCTTGCCCCGTCACCCCACCCGCCCTGCCCTGGCCCTCGAAGAGAAAATCTCCAGTGGTGCCGCATCCAAACCAGTGGGCCTGCAAGAAGAGTGGCTGGTGCTGGGAGGGAGAGAGACTCCAGGAGAAAGAGAGGAGACTGGAGGGGTGTGGTGAGGGGGCGGACCTGGGGCCAGCAGCCCAGGCCTCTCTGAGATGGGGGAGAGGGGAAGACGGGGAGGGGAGCAGCTCAGAGGGACCCTGCCCCACCTCCTTCGGAAGGGATGCTCCACAGACCACTGTAATTTCAAGGCAAAAGGGATCCCTAAAGGCCATGTCCTCCAGCCCTGCCTGCTGCTGCCGGCCTCAGATGGGTAAATTTCCCAAAACTTTCTGGAGAGGAAATGGTCATCCCTAACATCTCACCCTAGAAGCCCCTCAGCAGCAGCACCTCCGCTCCCCCCAATAACAGCCAGTAATGGCCAGCCCCATCCACTAGGGAGTTCTCTGCTAGAAATTACGGAGTCTGTGGAAGTCCCCAGACTGTGCCCCCGCCGCCCGCCGCCCATCTCCCTGGTCCTCTAACCACAACAGCCCAGAAGAAACCCTGACTGCAGCTTTGCAAGTGTGAAAGAAACAGAGAACACGCTCCCCCACCCTTCGCTCCCCCAACCACGAGGCCCGCCCCCGCCCCCTCGCCCTCATTTTTTCATTTTTTGGCAGGCTGCCCCCTCCCAGGGCTGGGGACAGCTGACACCCCTCCCCAGGGCTGGGCCCCCAGCTGGTCAGAGATGGGGATCAGGTTGGGGGTGGGGAGGACTGGTGCTCCATGCTCCAAAACAGCTCTGGGCCTTGGAAACATCAAACCAGAAGGAACTTAAGCCACCAGGAGCCCGAGACATAGGAGAATCTGCTCCCCAAAAGGAAAACAATGGTGTCCCCTCCAGCCCGCCTCCCATGAACCAGAAACATGTTATAAAAGGTACAGGGGAAGGAGGAAGAGAGAGGGGAGAGACAGAGAGAGAGAGAGAGAGAAAGAGAGAGAGAGAGAGAGACAGCTCACCCGGTGCCCCAGTGGGGGAGCCGGGGAAGGGAGTCCCTCCCTCCCCACCCGCCCTGGATGCTTATACACTTCTCCTGAAGGAGGCAAAAGAAGTATGAGAAAAGGCCAGGTCCCCCGAAAGGGCCAGGGACCAGGAAGGAGGGACAGAGAGAGACAGAAACAGCGAGAGAGAGAAAATCCTGCCCAAGCTCAGAGAGGAGCTTCCGTGGGTATCTGGAGGGTGGAGATGCCCGTGGCCGCACCAGGGCTGGTCCCACTGGGAGGACAACCCAGGGTGGGGGATACCGACCGGACCAAGTGTGGGTTGGGGAGAGAAGAAGGGGCCGGGGGAGGGCAGGTCACATAAGTATGGTACAGGTAGAACAAAGTGTGAGTTAGGGGTTAGCATTGGTAACAGTGCGTTTACCTTTCTGCTCCACTTCTACTTTAAGCATCGGAAGAGAGAGAGAAAACAAATTGAAAAAAAAAATGTGCAAGAAAAAAAGAGAAAAAAAAAGAGATTAAATTGCTTTCGTTTCTTTTCTGGCAACACGCCCCCTTTTCCTTTCCTTCCTCGCTCCTGCTTCCCCAACCCCTTCCGTAGCATCAGCTCGGGCCCCCGCCCCCAGGTCCCTTCCTCTGGGGGTGGTCAGGTGGGGTGAGAGGGTGCTGGGGAGACAGTCAGAGGGACGAGGGGGACACACACAGGAGGGAGAAGACACAGAAAGACACAGGGGTGGTAGGGGGGTACAGGCAGGCAGACAGAGCCCTCAGGTGGGAGGGGGCACCCTTGGTGCAAGGCGGGGGCAGGGAGTAGGGAGCCCCAGCTGGGAGGTGGGCTCCGGTCAGAGGGGGCACCAGGGAGTGGTGGGGTGGATAAGCCACTCGGCTCCCTTCCCACCCTGCCTGCTGCCCTCCTGCTAGAACCAGGGGCCCCAGGGGAAGGATTTCAGTGTCTCCCAGGGCCTGGGCCCACCCTCAGCCAAGAAACAGGCTGAACTCCTTCCCCTTTATGCTGGCCTCACCCAGGTCCAGCTGACTTCCCCCAAGCCCTCACAACCCAGAAGAAGCAAACACAGAGAGAAGGTGGCAGAGCCAGACACAGAACGACAGGCAGACGGGCAGTTGCACCCGGGCCCCAGAGAGAGCCAGGGTTGGGGAGACGGAGGCAGAGAGGTGGCGGGGGTGGGGGACACAGACTGGGTGGGACAGCAAGTGGGGGCACAGACACGCTCCCAGGCTCCCCAGGGGCAAGTCTGAGGCTCGGCTTCTCTGCTCAACCCACCCAGGGCCCGGGGGCCCAGGAGCTGGGAGCTCCGCCCTGCCCGCTGCCCTGCGGACGGGCGGCACCTAGGGGAGGAAGGGGCGCGGTTAGACTGTGCTCAGCTGCAAAGCAAATCCAGCATTAGTCGGGCTTGTCCACTGTGTGGGAGGGTTCCCACACATCACGTGCCCCCTGCCACCCACCCCTGACCCACCCTCACCAGCACTGGGGTCACCCCCAGCCTCTGAAGCCCTGGGCCAGGTGGCTGCCCAGGCCGCTCCCCCTCTGCATCCCTGGCCCCTCAGGAACTTCTGACTGGAGGGACTGGCTCTCCTGGCCCCTCTCTGAAGGTTCCAGCAGGGAGCTCCGCAGGGGCAGCCTCTGCCTCCCTTCCCAGCGCCTCACCCAGGGCCTGGCACTCAGGAGATGCTCAGTGAACATTTTGGGGACAAGTGAGTGCCTGGCCTCCCTGTCCTCTAGCTACCTCCTGTCCCCGCTTTAACTCCAGCCTCCTTCCTCTGGAGCATCAGGAGTTAGCTCTGCCCCCAACATCCACCCCGTATGTGTGCACACATGTCTGCGCGTGTGTGTGTGTGCGTGTGTCTCCTGTCTCCCCAAGGGCTCAGGCTATCTCTCTTCCATCAGACAGGCAGCCACTCATCCTCTGAACTGTCCTGCCCTCTGTCCCTGGAGCCTGCCTGGTCTCTGTCGGTTGTAGCCCCTGGACCACGCTCAGGGCCTCGGCTCCAGGAGGTTTCTCAGCTCCTCTCCTCCCCTAGCTTCTTTCCTGCGGCTTGACCTGAGCCTCTCGTCTACTTGCTTTGGCTTCCACCTGGACCGAGGAATTTTTCCTGCCCTTTATCTCACCTGCCTCGGGAGAAGTTGGGTCATTATCCGTTGTTATTTTAATTTTGATTACCACAGCAATAATCGTAATTGACAAGAGGCATTACAAGGAGCTGCAACAAAAGCAACGACTACCAAGTGTCCAGCACTCACGAGGGGCCAGCAACTATGCTACGCACCTCACTGGCCGTCTTTTGAGAACCCTGTCTACAGATGGGAAAACTGAGGCACACTGAAGTGAGGCCACATGGCTGGCGAAAGCAGGCACCATTTCCTTTGCATCTACAGCTCGGGTGCACACAAGCTTGACATGCGTTGTCGCTACTCCTTGTGGCTTCCCAGGGAAGGCTTTTGACCCCTCTCCACCCCATCACAGATGAATAAACAGGCTCAGCTGGCTTAAAGGGCATTGGTAATATTACTGAGCACATCCTGAACCAGGCATGGGTCTGGGCGCTGGGGCGGCGGGTGAAGACGAAGCCTCTGCCCTTGGGAAGTTTACACTCGGCACTCAAAACCCTGCCACCAGGAGCGACTTTGTGGCCGGCCCTGGGCCAAGCGCTTCTCACATGTCATCTCATGGACTCACACCTCCTTCCGTAGTGGCCCAGAGAAATTAAATCATTTGCTCAAGGTTTCAGAGCCAGAAAACTCAAGAGCCCAGTCGAGCCTTGAACCTACACCCATCTGACTGCCCCCCTGTGCTGAGCTCGCTGCCTCCCACCCCCCTTCCCCGCTGTCCCAGCCGCGGGAGTCAGCCGTGTCCCCAGTGCTGTGGGGAGGCTTCAAGGAGCAGATGGGCATCCCCCTCGGTGGTGGCTGAAGGCCTCAAGCGCTGAAAGGAAAGGACGAAGAGTAAAAGAAGAAAATTACGGAAGCACAGAAGGGATCCTGTTTCCCCAGCATCGAGTCACCTGTGAGGAGAAATCAAAGGCTGGCAGGGAAGGTTGGGGTGGGAGGGGAGAGGAGGGAGAGTTACAGGGCCTCTTAGTCCCCAAACCCGGCCCGCCACACTCAGACACCCTGATGGCCCTGCCTTCTCCCCACTCTTCCCGGAGGCCCTACCACCAGGTTGACTACATGGAACCCATTGTGGGAGGAGAAGGGAAGGGATAATGGGAAGGAGGGAGGGAGGAGAGAGGGCAGGAAAAAGGTGATGTCAAGGGTGGGGTGCTGAGGAGGAGAGACCTTGTCTTTGTCTGATCCCTTTGGCCAGGTGCAAGATGGCCAGGCTCCTGGCTCCCCAAATCACTTTCTTCAGGCTGCCTGGAGGCCACCCTCAGTCCAACATGGCGGCATTTCCTTTGCAGACAGGAAGTGCCACATGGTAATGGGGAGACCAGTGAGGAGCTATGAATCTGTTGAAAATGCCCCCCAGCCCTTCACCCTGAATCTGCCACCAGGCCTCAGAGGATGGTATCCCACTCTATGGGTGTAGAGTCCAGCTTCCATGATTGGGAAGAAGTGTGTGGGGAGTGAGGGTGCTGAGAGAACGGTGTTGAGAGGGGCAGTGGGGTAAGTGAGAGGGAAGAGAAGGTAGATGAGAAGGGTCAGAAAAGGTCAGAAGAGTCAGAAAAGGAAGGGATGTGAGAAGGCGAGGGAGGCAGATGGGGGAGAAAAGCATAGAGGCCAAGGGAGAAGAGAGAGACGTAAGTGTGCCAGGCAGAGCACGGGACCATGGCCTGGCAGTGTGGAAATGAGTATAGGGTGCATGAAGAAGCAGGGTGAGTGGGCTGGGGTAAGGAGAGCTGGAGAAGGTGTCCCCACAGGAGGGGACAGAGTCTGTGAGGCGGGGGAGCAGGCACTGAGTGTGGACACTGGTGTCTGGGATTAGAGAATGTGTGTTGGAGAGAGCAGGCCCGGCTGTCCCCACTGTGCCCAGGCCCCATGCATGTGTGCACATGTGTGATGGGTCAAGGTGTCTCCTCCTCACTCACTCATGCGAGAAGGGCCCGCATCCGCACAAGGAACAAGATGACTCACTGTAGGGGACACAGTCGTACTGCACCTCCAGGTACTTGTAGGTCCCAGGACAGGGGTCAGGAAAGGCATCCGAGCCGGCGACCACCACGCACTGGGTGCGGTTGTTACACCTTCAGAGGAGAAACAGGGCATTGGGAAAGAAACACATAGACGGGGTGGCGGGGGTGGGGGTGCATGCTCCAGGGTCATGGTGTCATAGACACCCCCAAATTGGGAAGGGGCAGTGGAGCTGGAAACCAAGTGATATAGTTTGGATCTGTGTCCATACCCAAATCTCATGTTGAATTGTGATCTCCAGTGTTGGAGGTGGGGCCTGGTGGGAGGTGATTGGATCATGGGGGCAGTTTCTAATGAATGGTTTATCACCATCCCCTCCGTGCTGTTGAGATCTGGTTGTTTAAAAGTGTGTAGCACCTCCCCTGTTCTCTTTTCCTCCTACTCCAGCCATGTACGGCGTGCCTGCTTCCCCTTCACCTTCTGCTGTGATTGTAAGTTTCCTGAGGCCTCCCCAGAAGCAGAAGCTACTATGCTTCCTGTACAGCCTGCAGAACTATGAGCCAATTAAATGTCTTTTCTTTATAAACTACCCAATCTCAGGTATTTCTTTATACCAGTATAAGAACGAACTAACACACCAAGCCCAGAGGACTTGTGTGGGCACTTTTTGTTTCCTGCCTGCTCTCTCTTTCCCACCAGGGTTCTTCTATTTTCAGCCCCAGCACAGCATCATCCTCAGGGCTAAGAAGGAGGAGTCACCCGCTAAACAGTGCTTTCCTGGCCACCCCTCATCTCTTTCATTGTGAGTGTAGCTGACACTATTATATCCTTGGCATTTTTCTTTAAATGGACTTTAAAGCCCCTGCGCTGTTCACTGGAGAGTAATACATGTGAAGCCATGCACGTGAGGTGGTGTCTCTGCAAACTTACGATCAATGAAATGTTCAGTGTCCAGCTGTGTCCACTTCACACCATCTCGTGGACACATCCCACCCTTTGGGCAGTGCTGCTGTGCAGACTTATAGCCAGGGCAGCCAGGAGAGAGCATCCCCAGGGGAAAGCCATTCTCGGTTCCCAAGAGGCAACTCCTCCAAGTCACTGTCAACTTCCCAGGGGGCTGGCTAGCATGTAAGGGGGAACCTATTTAACAAAAAGGTGTGTCTCATCTGCTGTCTGTCCCCACTGTCAGGGTCTCTGTCCCTTGCAGCAGGCTGGGGCTAGGCCAGGCAGGACACGGGCATGCAGGACATAGTTTGAGAGGCTTCCCGACAGGTATGGGGCAGAAGAGGCCCTGTGTCTCCCCTTCAATCCTGCTCTTAACCAAGGGTACTAAACACAGGCAGACACTTGAGAAGGGACTAAGGATCTAGCAGGGAGAGAGAAAAATGGGGGGCAGGATGGGGTGTGGGAAGATCTGTCTGTATCCATCCACCTCATCCTCTTCTTTAAAAATAGAACACTGGCTGGGCGTGGTGGCTCACGCCTGTAATCCCAGCACTTTGGGAGGCCAAGGCGGGTGGATCACCTGATGTCAGAAGTTTGAAACCAGCCTGACCAACATAGTGAAACCCTGTCTCTACTAAAAATACAAAAACTAGCCAGGCGTGGTGGTGCATGTCTGTAATCCCAGCTACACAGGAGGCTAAGGCAGAAGAATCACTTGAACCCAGGAGGCGGAGGTTGCAGTGAGCCAAGACTGAGCCACTGCACTCCAGCCTGGGTGACAGAGTAAGACTCCGTCTCAAACAAAACAAAAGAAAACAAAAAATAGAACACTGGGGCAGGGTGCAGTGGCTCACACCTGTAATCCCAGAACTTTGGGAGGCCGTGGTGGATGGATCACTTGAAGCCAGGAGCTTGAGAGCAGCCTGGCCAACATGGTAAAACCCCATCTCTACTAAATAAACAAAAATTAGCCAGGCGTGGTGGGGCGCACCGGTAATCCCAGCTACTCGGGAGGCTGAGGCCCAAGAATCGCTAGAACCCAGGAGGCAGAGGTTGCAGTGAGCCGAGATCGCACCGCTGTACTCCAGAAGTAGACAATTCATACATTTTAAGTTGTGTGCTGTTGTGAGTAGCCTGATGAAATCTCATGCTGTATGGGGCGTGTCCATGCTGTATTTGCTCCCTGTCTGTTAGTCACTAGTGGTCATCTCAGTTATCCATCAACTGTCACGGTTTCACAGTGCTTATGTTCAAGTAGCCCTTAGTTTATGTAACAATATTTTACTACTAAAAATTATTATTGTTGTTGTTAGTCTCTCACTGTGCCTAACGTATTTTATTATTATTATGTTTTGAGACAGGGTCCCGCTCTGTCACCGAGGCTGGAGTGCAGTGGTACAATCTTGGCTCACTGCAGCCTCGGCCTCCCAGGCTCAAGTGATCCTCCAGCCTCTGCCTCCCAAGGAGCTGGGACTACAGGTATGTGCCACCATGCCCTGCTAATTTTTTGTATTTTTAGTAGAGATGGGGTTTTGCCGTGTTGCCTAGGCTGGTCTCAAACTCCTGGGTTCAAACAATCTACCCGTCTCGACCTCCCAAAGTGCTGGGATTACAATCATGAGCCATCACACCCAGCCTATTTTATTTTATTATTTTTTAGACAGGGTCTTACTCTATTGCCCAGGACGGAGAGCAGCGGTGTGATCATGGCTCATTGTAGTCTCGACTTCCCGAAGTGCTGGGATTACAGGCATGAGCCACCGCATCTAGCTGTGCCTAATTTGTAAATTAAACTTTATTATAATTAGAGCTGTATAGGAGAAAACATGGTATATACAAGGTTCAGTAGCTCTCTGCAGTTTAGGCATCCACTGGGGTTCTTGGAGCGTTTCCCCAGTGGGTAAGTGGGGATTACTGTACCCAAAAGAATTTAAAACAAGTGTTTAAGCAAATCGTTGTACACGCACGTTCACAGCTGCATTATTCACAATCACCACAAACGTGGAGGCAGCCCAAACATCCACCAACAAATGAACAGCTAGGCTGGGCGCAGTGGCTCATGGCTATAATCCCAGCACTTTGGGAGGCCAAGACTGGCAGATCAATTGAGGTCAGAAGTTTGAGACCAGCCTGGCCAACATGGTGAAACGTCGTCTTTACTAAAAATACAAAAATTAGCCGGGCGTGGTGGTGCATGCTTGTAGTCCCAGCCACTTGCGAGGCTGAAGCAGGAGGACTGTTTGAACCGGAAAGCGGAGGTTGCAGTGAGCCGAGATCATGCCACTGCACTCCAGCCTGGGGGAGAGCAAGACTCCGTCTCAAAAAAAAAAAAAAAAAAAAAAAAAGAGTCTCCAGGCTTGGTTGTGGAGCAGTGGGGGTTGGGGACTCAGCGGAGAGGAAGCAGGACTAAGGCCCCCTACAAGTCCTTCTGGATGTGACTCCAGAGGCCTCATCACACTCCCTCAGCCCCGGTAACTATTCTGCACAGCATTCCCCACGGACATGGGAACTGGGCCAGATGCTGTACTAGGTGCTAGAGAGATAATGGAGAAGAATGCAGTCCCCCAAAGCTGGTGTTGAATGAAGTCAGCAGGGAGAATTTGGAGAGGTGGGAGGAAGGGGGCTCCCAGGGAGGGGGCCCACAGCCTAAGCAAAGGCTAGAGCCTGGACTGGGAATGCCTATGCAGGGCACCCTCGGCAGGGGTGTCAGGGGACAGGAAGCGGGGAAGAGAGGCAAGATTGCTGGAGGGGAATGGCAGTTTGAGAGAGAGGCAGAGAGGAGGAGATGATGAGGTGCCTCCAGCCCAGCCCAGCCCAGCTATCTCAGCCACCTGAACACTGTCATCCCCTGCCCAAACCTCTCCTGCTCTCCTGGGGCTCTCAGTGACCCGCTCCTCCCCTGGTAACACACATTTTTTTTTTTTTTTTTTGAGACAGAGTCTCACTCTGTCACCTAGGCTGGAGTGCAGTGGTGTTATCTTGGTTCACTGCAACCTCTGCCTCCAAGGTTCAAGCGATTCTCCTGCCTCAGCCTCCCAAGTATCTGGGACTACAGGCTCACACCACCGTATCAGGCTAATTTTTGTATTTTTGGTAGAGACAGGGTTTCACCATGTTGGCCAGGTTGGTCTCGAACTCCTGACCTCAAGTGATCCACCCGCCATGGCCTCCCAAAGTGCTGGGATTACAGGCGTGAAACACTGCACCTGGTCTGTTTTTTTTTTTTTTTTTTTTTAGAGACAGGGTCTTGCTCAGTCACCCAGGCTGGAGTGCAGTGGTGGGATCATAGCTCATTGAAGCCTCAAACTCCCGGGCCCAAGTGATCCTCCTGCATCGGTCATCTGAGTAGCTGGGACCACAGGCACACACCATGACTGGCTAATTTATTTTTTAGTTTCTAGTAGAGACAGGGTCTTGCTATGTTGCCCAGTCTGGTCTCGAACTCCTGACCTAAAGCGATCCCCCTGCCTCAGCCTCCCAAAGTTCTGTGATTACAGGCGTGAGCCACCGCGTCCAGCCTGGGTGTAATTTGAAGGAAAGGCTGATCAGCTCTACATGGACTGACTGTGGGTGTGAGAGAGGCTTGTGCAGATTTGCACACGTGGTGCCTCAGCCTGGGGCAACCCCTCCACGCTCACACAATCACAAACAACTCAAAGAAATACAAATACACTCTCAGTCAACCACACACAAACCCTCATCCACATACACACATCTGCCCACAGACACAGTTAAATACACAAAGACACAGCCACACCCACCCACCCCCACACACGTGCACCCATCCACCTCACCACTCACAGATATGAAAACACACACCTCAGTCAGCCACACCCGCTCACACACATGCTCACACCCACACCCGCTCACGTACACTTAAACACACCCAAATACACTCATATAACCACATATTCACCCACAAACACCCACATTCACACACACATCCACCCACCCAGATACACACTCCAATACACACTCATACAGACACACTCAGACACACTCAAAGACATGTTTAGTCACACACATCTGCACACACCTACACCTGTTCACATACACTTAGACACACAGACACACTTAGTCACAATCACACACATTTAGTCACACACTCAAAAATGCACACATACTCACACTCAAATACACACACAGGCCAGGCGCAGTGGCTCACGCCTGTAATCCCAGCACTTAAGGGGGCCAAGGCAGGCAGGTGAATCACCTGAGGTCAGGAGTTCAAGACCAACCTGGCCAACATGGTAAAACCCTGTCTGTACAAAAATACAAAAATAAGCTGGGCATGATGGTGCGTACCTGTAATCCCAGCTACTCGGGAGGCTGAGGCGGGAGAATTGCTTGAACCCTGGAGGTGGAGGTTGCAATGAGCTGAGATCACACCACTGCACTGCAGCCTGGGCGACAGAGCAAGATTCTGTCTCAAAAATAAACAAAACAGGCCGGGCGCAGTGGCTTACACCTGTAGTCCCAGCACTTTGGGAGGCCAAGTGGGCGGATCATGAGGTCAAGAGATCGAGACCATCCTGGCCAAGATGGTGACACCCCGTCTCTATTAAAAATACAAAAAAATTAGCTTGGCGTGGTGGTGCGCGCCTGTAGTCCTAGCTACTCGGGAGGCTGAGGCAGGAGAATCGCTTGAACCCAGGAAGCGGAGGTGGCAGTGAGCCAAGATCGCACCACTGCACTCCAGCCTGGGTGACAGACTGAGACTCTGTCTCAAAAATTAAATAACTAAATAAAATAAAACAAATACACCGTCATACTCATAGATGCATGCAATCACACAGACACACTCCAAGTTACAGTCTTGCATGCTCAAGCATTCACCCCACACACAATCACTCACACAGGCCTGTGCTTCTATCATCTGTGCTCAGGTGTCTCCTCCTTGGAGTAGCCTGATGAGCTCTCAAATCTGGGATGGGTGGGTGCGGTGGCTCATGCCTGTCATCCCAGCGCTTTGAGAGGCCGAGGCAGGAGGATTGCTTGAGGCCAGGAGTTTAAGACCAGCCTGGGCAACATAGCAAGACCCTGCCTCTACAAAAAATAAAATAAAATTAGCCAGGCATGGTGGCAGGCGCCTGTAGTCCCAGCTACTCAGGAGGCTGAGGCAGGGGGATTGCTTGAACCTGAGAGGTCACAGCTGCAGTGAGCTGTGATTGTGCCACTGTGCTCCAGCCTAGGCAACAGTGAGACCCTATCTTCAAAAAAAAAAAAAGAGTCTGGGATGAAGGGAAAAGTCCTCCCATGACACCTTCGCTCTGTCCTGCTGTTCTTTATATTTTACAAGCTCCAAACTGCCCTGGCTAAGGCTGGGTGTGATGGCTCATCTCATGCCTGTAATGCCAGCACTTTGGGAGGTCGAGGTGGGCAGATCACCTGAGGTCAGGAGTTCGAGACCTGCCTGGCCAATTACAAAACCCTGTCTCTACTAAAAATACAAAAAAATTAGTCAGGCGTGGTGGCGTGCGCCTATAATCCCCAGCTACTTGGGAGGCTGAGGCAGAAGAATCGCCTAAACCCAGGAGGTGGAGGTTGCAGTGAGCTGAGATGCCACCACGCTCCAGCCTGGTAACAGAGTAAGACTCCATCTCAAAAACAAACAAACAAACTGCCCTGGCTAATCTTGGGATGGAAGTTATGGAAGCAAGAGGCTGGTGGGGGGAGGGACTTCCCAGTGTATGTATGGGTATAGGCCTCTGTCGGGGGCACAGGCTGGCTGTGGGGAGATGTACTGGGTCTTATTCTCGTCTGCATGGGGCCCAGCACCTATTAAGTGCTCAGTAAACATGTGTTGAATGCATAAAAAAAAGATGTAAGGTGAACGGGTGTGCTGGCAGGTGTGCAGTGCTTTTAGGCGGGCACTTCATCCAGGAACTGCCACGAGAGCCCACTCACCTCTGTGACATGATCTTGAAGGCGTCCGGCAGGTAGCACTGCACATTCTCCATCTGGAAAGGGTCAGCATCGCAAATCTTGTCGTCCGTGCGCCCGTAGTTGGCATTCTCCACCATGATGACGTCGCTGCCGGGGCACCGCAGCTCGATGGGGTAGCCTTCACACGCCAGCTCCCGGCGCATCAGCCCGAACGGGAGCCCGGCCCGGCTCAGGCCTGCAGGGAGGGTTGGGGATGGTGTCACTCCTGGGCCTGGGCCAGGAAGGGAAGACCCTACCCACTGCCAAGAAAACACCACCTCTGGCTCGGCTGTGTCCTGGAAGCCAGCTGAGGCAGCCTCAGTTGATTCAGCTGTAGAATGGGCCTCTCAGTGTGCCCACTTGTGTAGTGAGGACATTAACCTGGCCCAGAGAGTGCCTGGACTCTCAGCTCCTAGGAAGTGACGTCTGAGCCTTTGGAATGCTCTGCTTGATAAGAGTGACTGTTTTCCTGGGGTCCTCGGGCTACACCAGATATGCTGTTATGGATTGAACTGTGTTCCCCTGAAAATTCATATGCTGAAGTCCTAACCCCCAGGACCTGAAAATGTGACATTATTTGGAGATAAGGTCTTTATAGAGATAAATTCAAATGAGGCTATTAGGGTAGGCCCCAATCCAATATGACTGTGGTCCTTATAAAAACGGGCAATTTTGGCCAGGCACAGAGGCACACACTTGTAACCCCAGCATTTTGGGAGACAGAGGTGGGCAAATCGCCTGAACCCAGGAGTTTGAGACCAGCCTGAGCAATATAGTGAAACCCTGTCTCTACCAAAAATACACAAATTAGCCAGACGTGGTGGCACACACCTGTAGTCCCAGCTACTGGGGAGGCTGAGGTGGGAGGATCACCTCAGCCCAGGAGGTTGAGGCTCCAGTAAGCCATGATTGTGCCATTGCACTCTAGCCTGGGCAACAGAGCGAGACCCTATCTCAATAAAAAAAGAGGGGGTGGGGCGTTGTTGTTAAGATAGGATCTTCCTCTGTCACCCAGGCTGGAGTGCAGTGGTGCGATCATGGCTCACTGCAAGTCTCAACCTCCTGGGCTCAGGTGATCCTGCCTCAACCTCCCAAGTAGCTGGAACTACAGATTCACGCCACCATGTCCGGCTAATTTTTTACATTGTTTCATAGAAATGGGTCCCTTTTCTATGTTGCCCAAGCTAGTCTGGTCTCAAGCAATCCTCCTGCCTTGGCCTCTCAAAGTGCTAGGATTATGGGCCTGAGTCCTCGCACCTGGCTAAAAGGAGAAATTTGGGCACAGAAGTGTACAGGGGGAAGACAATGTGAAGACACAGGAGCAGGCGGCCATCTATCTATAAGCCAAGGAGAGGCCAGGCGCGGTGGCTCACACCTGTAATCCCCGCACTTTGGGAGGCTGAGGCGGGTGGATCACCTGAGGTCAGGAGTTTGAGACCAGCCTGGCCAACGTGGTGAAACCCCATCTCTACTAAAAATACAAAAATCAGCTGGACGTGGTGGCATGTGCCTGTAATCCCAGCGACTTGAGAGGCTGAGGCAGGAGAATCACTTGAGCTGGGGAGGCAGAGATTGCAGTGAGCCCAGATCGTGCCACTGCACTCCAGCCTGGGTGACAGAGTGACATTCCATCTCAAAAATAAATAAAAAATAAAAAAAAAATAGGTCAGGCACGGTGGCTCACGCCTATAATCCCAGCACTTTGAGAGGCCAGGGTGGGCAGATCATGAGGTGAGGTGATTGAGACCATCCTGGCTAAAACGGTGAAACCCCATCTCTACCAAAAATACAAAAAATTAGCTGGGCATGGTGGCGGGCACCTGTAGTCCCAGCTACTTGGGAGGCTGAGGAAGGAGAATGGCCTGAACCCAGGAGGCAGGGCTTGCAGTGAGCTGAGATTGCACCACTGCACTACAGCCTGGGCGACAGAGCGAGACTCCATCAAACAAACAAACAAATAAATGCCAAGGAGAGAGGCCTCAGAAGGAACCAACCCTGGCTGATACCTTGACCTCAGACTTCTGGCCTCTGCAACTGTGAGACAATCAATGTCTGTTGCTTAAGACACATGGTCTAGGCCGGGCTCGGTGGCTCACACCTGTAATCCCAGGACTTTGGGAGGTCGAGGTGGGCGAATCACCTGAGGTCAGGAGTTTGAGACCAGCCTGGCCAACATGGTGAAACCCCCATCTCTACTTAAAAAACTACAAAAATTAGCCGGGTGTGGTGGCAGGCACCTGTAATCCCAGCTACTTGGGAGGCGAGGCAGGACAATTGCTTGAACCCAGGAGGCGGAGGTTGCAGTGATGGCATGCAGAGATCATGCCACTGTACTCCAGCCTGGGCGACAAACAAAGACACATGGTCTCTGGTACTTTGTTAGGGCGGCCCTAGTTAATGAATATGCTAACAGGACTTGGGGCAGGAGCTTTGGGTCACATAGTCTCAGCTGACTTCTAGAGATGCTAGAGATTCAGCTCAGCCCTGTAGGTGGTCTATCAGGGCTACAGAGTACAGAACTGAGCTCCAATACAAACCCTGGATAACAAGGCTTGGGGGAGCCTCTATGGTTGGCAGTACACCATGTGTGTTGTCACACATTGTTGCCGGGAGAGTTAACACTGTCCAGGACTCCACTGAAGGGAGTAACTGGAAACTCCATGCATGGAACTTTCTTGGACTCTGCCCTATGCACCTCTTCCCTTGCCTGACTTCTATTTGTTTTGAGACAGAGTCTCGCTCTGTCACCCAGGCTGGAGTGGAATGGCGCGATCTCAGCTCACTGCAACCTCTGCCTCCCAGGTTCAAGCGATTCTCCTGCCTCAGCCTCCCAAGTAGCTGGGATTACAGGCGCCTGCCACCACACCCCACTAATTTTTGTATTTTTAGTAGAGACGGGGTTTTGCCATGTTGGCCAGGCTGGTCTCAAACTCCTGACCTCAGGTGATCCGCCCGCCTGAGCCTCCCAAAGTGCTGGGATTACAGGCATGAGCCACCACGCCTGGCCTGTTTGTTTTTTCAGACAGGGTCTCACCCTGTCACCAAGGTTAGAGCACAGTGGTGTGATCATAGCTCACTGCAGCCTCAAACTCCTGGGCTCAGGGGATCCTCCTGCCTCAGCCTCCCGAGTAGCTGGGACTACAGGCACATACCACCATGCCTGGCTAATTTTTTTTTATTTTTTGTAGTGATGGGGGTACTTGCTATGTTGCCCAGGCTGGTCTCAAACTCTTGAGCTCAAGCAATCCTCCCACCTTGGCTTCCCAAAGTGTTGGGATTACAGGAGTGAGCCAGTGCACCTGGCCCTGATTTTAATCTGTATCCTTTTGATGTAATAAACTGTGAGCAAATTAGCCGGGCGTGGTGGCAGGCACCTATAGTCCCAGCTACTCAGGAGGCTGAGGCAGGAGAATGGTGTGAACCTGGGAGGTAGAGCTTGCAGTGAGCCGAGATCACACCACTGCACTCCAGCCTGGGCGACAGAGCGAGACTCCATCTCGAAAAAATAAATAAATAAAAAATAAATAAACTGTGAGCATAACATCTAGTTAGTTCCAAGTCCTTCTAGTGAATGATCATACCTGAGTGTTCTCTGGGGGACCCCCAAACTTGTCATTGGTGTCAGAAGTGAGGCTTGGCTTGGGGACTTCCCTAACTTCACCCCACCCCATGCGAGGAGCAGAGAAAACATGGGAATGAACTCATGTTTCTAGAAGAAACCATAGAGACTGGCTTTGCCGCTGACAGGGCAGATGTGAAGTCTGGTTCAGAATGCAGATTCGGGCCCCATACTCGGCCTGCTGGATCAAAATCCCAGGGGTGAGGCCAGGAGCCTGCAGGGCTATGTGCCAACCAGGTGATGGTGATGCATGCTCAAGTTCGAACAGTGGCTGGGCGCGGTGGTTCACGCCTGTAATCCCAGCACTTTGGAAGGCCGAGGTGGGTGGATCACCAGAGGTCAGGAATTCGAGACTAGCCTGGCCAACATGGTGAAACCCTGTCTCTACTAAAAATACAAAAAATTAGCCGGGCATGGTGGCAGGCGGCTGTAATCCCAGCTACTCGGGAGGCTGAGGCAGGAGAATCGCTTGAACCCGGGAGGCAGAGGTTGCAGTGAGCCGAGATCACACCACTGCACTCCAGCCTGGGCGACAAGAGCAAAACTCCATCTCAAAATAAAAACATTTAAAAAGTTTGAACAGCCACCGTTCTTCTTTCCCCAAGCCTCAGTTTCCCAATCTGTAAAATGAGCACCTACAGCCCCGGGTCATCCTGCAGGGATCCTGTGCCTTAGAAAATGCTCTTGAAGGAAAGCACTGAGCATGGCACCCTGCACACGGAGGGTGCCTGATCAGTATCATCTGGTGAACCTCCAAGGATTTCACTGTGACAAGGAAGGGACATGTTCTGAGCAGGCTGAGCTCCCTGGGGGGATTGCGTTGCCCCATGTTGGTCATCACCTTGTACCACACGGGGATGGAGAACTAGAATGTAGGAGCCAGACAGATGGCTGGGGTTGGAATTCCAGCCCGGCCACTCCCTGGCTGCAGCCTCATCCAAGTCACTGACCGCCTCTGTGCCTCTGTCCCTCCCCTGAGGGGCAGAGAGGACAATTCCCATCTCACAGGACTGTTGTGATGGCTCCAGGGTGTTAATGTGTGCAGAGCGCAGTGAGATGATATGAATGCTAATTATTGTTATTATGAATATTATTAAGGCGGTTTGTCTGCACAACAGAGGGTGCCTGGCAGGGTCCATGCTGGCCGGGGCAGCACCTTCTGTGACGCTGGTTCCAGCCAGGCCCTGCGGGGTGCTGGAGGGCAGCAGGGATTCAGCCAGGGACCCAGATGCCCCAATGTGGGGACCGTCGCTTGTAGGTGAAGGAAGTGACCACCTGCTGTACGAGGTTTCGGGAGGGCACTCGTGCGGGACGGTGACAGAGCTGAGCCTTTCCAGAGATCTGGGTGGGTACCCCAGGGGTATGGCAGGGAGGCCCTTGGGGTTTTTTGGGGTGAGTTGAGTCCCAGCGGGGGGAACATTTCACATGTGTTCCTCCAGCACCATCTGCCTCCTCATCTAATTTTAGCCTTCCCGGGCTTGGGAGGGAGGGCCGGGGGTGGAAGGCTGGCTCAGATGGGTCTGGGGGTGGAGGCAGCCCTCCCGGCCCAGCTGGGGCTATGGGGCAGGACCTGGATGGGCAGAGAACGTAGCAGCAGAGGAGTGAGGTTGCTGGCCAGCGGGGCAGTGCCAAGGCCCTGGGGCCCAGCTGAACCGTGTCCCTTCAACCTTTGGAGCTTTCCAGAGGGCAGGGCCAGAGGGAGCAGAGTCACCCGCCAATGCCCTTCATACAGGGATGTCGGGGTGGGCAGGGGGCACATCCCAGAGTGAGGGGCCGGGCCTACTGGCCTCTTCTCTTGGCCTCTCACCTTATCCCGCCCTTGCCCCCGGCCTGGGCTGGTCACGGGGCCAGTAATCGAGTAATCGGTGAGGGTGGGCGGGCAGGCTTGGGGCACTAATAGTGGCGTGTGCAGGATCCTAGGGCCGGCATAGGGCCGAGCCGGGTAATTAGTTGTTTTTAAATAAACGTCAGCGGGCATGCTTTAATTAAGCCTTCTTCCCAGTGAGAGCCTCGAAGATGTAATCACAGAGAGAGAGAGAGAGAGAGAGAGCGAGAGAGAGACAGAGAGAGGAGCATCGGCTCACCAAGAAGGCCTGTCCTGGTCCCAGGGGCCACAGCGGGATGGCCCCTACCAACCTGGCCCAGCCGACTTGTTGGAGGTAAGAGGATGGTCCAGGGGCCTCTTGGTGGCACTGGGGTGTGTGTTACCCCTGAGTCTTCCACTGGCCTGCTCCAGCTGAGGTCTGGGGCGGGGCAGGGGGCTGTAATTCTTTACTGAGTGATCAGGAGGGTTTTCAACATTTTATCTGCCCCCCCCAGAAGGGTTTGGGAGCCGCGGCCCCTCCCCGGCCCCAGCAGCACCTACCTTGGGTGGCCGAGGTGACCAGGACGGCGGTGACACACAGATTCCAGAGCACTGCGGCTAGGCGGGCCATGGTGGCAGCCGGGTGCGTGTCCGGAGCTCTCAGTGGCCTGTGCGGGGGGCTTTGCCCCACATCACCTGGCAGGCACCACGGCCTGGACCACCAGCCTGGGGGAGGACAGGGAGACTGAGGTGGGGATAGGGCCTCCAGGCCGCTCCCCTCTCCTCCTGCTGGTGGCTGAGTAGCTCTGAGAGGCTGAGGTCCAGCACGTCCCTCGAGCCAGCCCTATCTGTAGGGCCCCCTCCGGGGTCTGCAGCTCACACCACACCCCCCACCCTTACACCCAGCAGCCAGACCCAGCTATCTGGGCACCTCTGGGCAAAGAGACTGCCAACTCTTCCCCACTGGAACCTCCTGGGACAGCTCACGGGGAGATCCCAGGCAGGCCTTGGACCCTCTGGAAGCCTCTTCCCCATGCCCCTGTCCTGACCCTGCCCACTCATCTCCCCTACTCGCATCCTCACCATGAGCAAGGAGGTAATGAGTGTCCTCCCAAGTGAGGGACTCATTGCAACCCAACTTGCAGCCTCCCCGTCTTGGGCAGAAATCCAAGCCCCCGCCCCCAGCCCCCTGCTTCCTGTCTCTCAAGCTCTGGTGGCTAATTAGAATCCAGCTGGCGCCACAGATCGGGAACCAGGGACGCCCGAGTCCCCTCTTTCCTCTCTGGGGGACCTTCAGGGTAAGCTGGAGACAGGCAGGCGGGGTGGGAGGCGGACACTGCCTCCCCCTCTGGGGGGGCCAGGGGAGATGGGGGAGGGGTGAGAATTGTGTGCTGTCCCCTGCCATCCTCCCCACCTGCTCTGTCCCCAGGCACAGCGGCTCAGTTTTTTTTTTCATTATTATTATTTTTTTAAATTTTAGAAACCAGGTCTCACTCTGTTGCCCAGGCTGGAGTGCAATGATATAATCACAGCTCACTGCAGCCTCAACCTCCCAGACTCAAGGAATCCTCCCACCTCAGCCTCCCAAGTAGCTGAAATCACAGGCTTGCACCACTACCACCAGCTAATTTTTATTTTATTTATTTATTTATTTATTTATTTATTTATTTATTTATTTTTTTTTCTGAGACGGAGTCGTGCTCTGTCCCCCAGGCTGGAGTGCAGTGGCACAGACTCAGCTCACTGCAAGCTCCGCCTCCTGGGTTCACGCCATTCTCCTGCCTCAGCCTCCCGAGTAGCTGGGACTACAGGCACCCACCAACACGCCCGGCTAATTTTTTGTATTTTTAGTCGAGATGGGGTTTCACCGTGTTAGCCAGGATGGTCTCTATCTCCTGACCTCGTGATCCGCCCGTCTCGGCCTCCCAAAGTGCTGGGATTACAGGCGTGAGCCACAGCGCCCAGCACCACCAGCTAATTTTTAAATTTGCTGCAGAGAGGAGGTCTTGCTATGTTGCCCAGACTGATCTCAAACTCCTGGGCTTAAGGGATCTTCCTGCCTGGGCCCCCCAAAACTTTGGGATTACAGGAGTGAGCCACTGTGCCCAGTCCAGGACTCGGTTCTAACTGGTTTCTTCCTGCCTTATGGCTGCTCCTTCTCACCTCTCTCCCCGCCTCAGTCTCCCCAAATCCTCTCAGGCTTGCACGCTCAAATGTCTGTCCTCAGCTCTTTGCTTTATCTACACCCTGGTTCTCCAGGTGTGGTCCCAGCACACTGGCATCAGCCTTGCCAGGAACTTGGTAGAAACACACATTCTCTCTCTCTCTTTCTTTTTTTAAGAGACAGGGTCTTGCTCTGTTGCCCAGGCTGGAGTACAGTGGCACAATGACGGCTCACTGCAACCTCCAGATCCTGGGTTCAAGTGATGCTCCTACTTCAGCCTTTCGAGTAGCTGGGACCACAGGCTCTCGCCACCACGCCCAGCTAATTTTAAAATGTCTTATAGAGACAGGATCTTGCTATGTTGCCCAAGCTGGTCTTGAACTCCTGGCCTCAAATGATCCTCCCACCTCAGTCTCCCAAAGTGCTGGGATTACAGGCGTGAGCCACTGTGCTGGCCAGAAACACACATTCTCTGAGGCAGGCCCTGAAGCGTGGGAACCCCTGCTCTGTCATATCCAGCTGTCATCCCAGCCTGTCCCATCTCAGGCTGTCCTGGGCTCTCAGTACCATCATTGAGCCAGCACTTTCAAATCTCTTATGTCCAGCCTGGAATCTCTCATCAGAGCCCCCACTACCATTTCCCTGCTGAAAACCAAAACCCTTGTAATTGGCCCAGTTAGCTCCCTGACCCCATTTCTGCTCCAGCCACTCCTGCTATTCCTGGACCACAGCAGGCCTTGCCCCAGGGCCTTTGCACCTGTTGCTTCCTCCACCTGTAGCTTCTGCCAACCCACTGTCCACATGGCTGGCTCCTTCAGGCCTCTGCTCAGATAGAACTATTCACCTGGTGTATAGAATGTCCTCTTCATGGGGCAGGGATCATTGAACTGTTTTGCTCATGGTGGCCGTATCCCCAACTTTTATTTACTTTTATTTTTTTAGAGATAGGGTCTTGCTCTGTCACTCAGGCTGGAGTGCAGTGGTGAAATCATGGCTCACTGCAGCCTCCACCTCCCAGGCTCAAGTGATCCTCCCGCCTCGGCCTCCCTAGTAGCTGAGACCACAGGTATGCACCATCACATCCAGCTAATTTATTTTATTTTGCAAAGATGAGGTCTTGCTATGTTGCCCAGGCTGAACATGAACTTCTGGCCTCAAGAGATCCTCCTGCCTCAACATCCCAAAGTGCTGGGATTACTGCGTGAGGCCATCACCACTGTTGTCTTCATATCCTCAACTTTTAGAATAGGCCTGGCACGTGGCAATGAATTAATTATTTGTTGAATGAATCTCAGATCCCAAAGCTGAGACTCTGCCTTGATTCCTCACCTTCCCTGTCATCCCCCTCACGGAAGCCATCAGCAACTCCTGTGGGCTCTGCCTCTGAAGTACCTCGCGACCTGCCCACTTCTGGCTCTAAGCACAGCACCCAGGCCCATGCACCATCCTATGTCACCTGTATGTTGTCCTGGCCTCCTTGCCCGCCTCCCAATCCGCCCTTCACTCAGAGCTAAGGGACCACATGATGATGTTGATCCGAACATTAACTGACCCCCTGGTCTCTGCTGGGGTCTCAGTTCCTCACTAGAGCCCAGAGGCTGTGGGTGAACTGGTGCCACCAAGCTCTCCAAGCCCCATTCTGTCCTCCCTCCTGTTCCTGAAACATTCAACATTCCAGTTCCAGTCCCCAAGCAGGATCCCTGCATGTCGGCTGCGGCTGCTCATTGTTCAGGGCTCAGCCGCAAGGTCACCCCAGCAGAGTGACCTACCCTGACCCCCTGCAAACAAAACAGTCCTCGCCTGCTGCCCTCACCCGCCATCCTTTTCCCTGTTTTTAATTCACAGCTCTCAAGTGAGCACCTGAAATTACCTTTTTATCAACACGAGCTTCTTGAGAGAGGCCCTTACAAATCAGCACACGGCTGGGCACGGTGGCCCGTGCCTGTAATCCCAGCACTTTGGGAAGCCGAGGCGGGTGGATCACCAGAGGTGGGAGTTCGAGACCAGCCTGGCCAACATGGTGAAACCCCATCTCTACTAAAAATACCAAAAAATTAGCCGGGCGTGGTGGCGGGTGCCTGTAATCCCAGCTACTCGGGAGGCTGAGGCACGAGAACTGGTTGAACCTGAGAGGTAGAGGTTGCAGTGAGCTGAGATTGTGCCATTGCACTCCAGCCTGGGCAACAGAGCCAGACTGTCTCAAAAATAAATAAATAAAACAAATCGGCACAGGCCCTCAATAAATAAAGATCCCCACAGGGCAGGACACCTGGTCCAGACCCCAGTCTCCTCACGTGGGAAATGGGAAGATAATATCTGCAAGACAGCCCTGAACACCCCCTCTCCAGCCCTGTAGCTCTCTGCCCGCTTCCCCTCTCATGCCCACTCCCGATACCAGCTCCCTCTCCACTGCCCCAGCTTCTTCAGTAAATCCCCCCCAGCTACCTCCAGCCCCCAACCGCGTCTCCCCCCACATCCCTGACTAGACACGGCCAGTGTCACTTTCAGATGATTTTACAGCGTGTTACCCCGCCGCCGCCACCAGCCCCTATCCGCATCTCCCCCACATCTGTGACTAGACATGGCCGGTGTCACTTTCAAATCATTTTCCAGCATGTTACCTTGGGAATGGGGAGTGGCTTCCTTATTTCAACTTCCTCATTTCTCCCCCAACTGCCCAGCCACAGAAAGGTTCAGGGGAGGCAGTGTCCCCAAGCTGAGGATACTCCCCTCCCAGGGTCTCCAAGCGCTTTCTTTCCCACTGCAACAGGCATCCGAGCAGAGGAACTGGTTAGAGGGAGTAAAAATGGCTGGCTTGGTACGGTGACTCGTGCCTGTGATCCCAGTGCTTTGGGAGGCTAAGGTGGGTGGATCACTTGAGCCCAGGAGTTTGCAAGGCTGCAGTAAGCTATGATCCTGCCACTGCACTCCAGTCTGGGCAACAGAGCAAGACCCTCTCTTAATAAAAATAAATAAATAAATAAATGGCAGGGAAGCCACTCGATGCCAAATTGTGTGGGCAGCGAATCCACATGGGTCTAGATCCCAATTTTGCCTTATACATGCCCTGTGTGACCTTGAGCTGGTCTCCTCACCTCCCTGGCCCTGGTTCCCTCTGCGCTGCTATTCTGCAGGGTTCTGGTAAGGAGAGCAGTACACGTACACGCTGGGCCAATACAGGCCCCATCAGAGGGTGCTGTGCACAGCCTGGTGCCAGTCAGGGCACAAAGACACCCACGGAAGAGGCAGTCCCTCTCTTCCTCCCAGGCTGCACCCTAGAATGCTAAGACTCCAGAGTGGACCCCCCAGAGCCATGTATACTTCCACCGGGAACTCCAAGGCACCTTCAGCCCAACCAGACCAAAATAAGCCCCTACATCAGTGCACGGTGCCACCATCCTCCCAGGCCCTCCAGCCAGAACCCCAGGAGCTGAAACCCTTGACTCCTCTCTCACCCCTAAATCCAGTTCAAGAGTAAGTCTTTGGGCTGTGTATACTTCCAGAACACCCCAGTGTTGGTCCACACATCTGTCTTCAGCATCTGCCCCTCTAGTCCTGGGCCCTGGCCACTCCCCAAGTGCCCTCTGGCTCCTTTGCCTCCGACGTCCAGGCTCTCCTGGCAGCCAGAGGCACCACCTCCTTTTTTTTCTTTTTTTGAGACGGAGTCTCACTTTGTCACCGGGGCTGGAGTGCAGTGGCACAATCTTGGCTCACTGCAACTTCCACCTCCCGGGTTCAAGTGATTCTCCTGCCTCAGCCTCCTGAGTAGCTGGGATTATAGGCGCCCACCACCACGAGCAGACACGGGGTTTCACCATGTTGGCCAGGCTAGTCTGGAACTCCTGACCTCAAGTGATCCACCCGCCTCGGCCTCCCAACGTGTTGGGATTACAGGCATGAGCCATCGTGCCCAGCCTCCAAAACTTTTTTATCACCCCACATAGAAACTCCGTACCCACTAAACAATAATGCCCACTCCCCTTGTCGCCCAGCCCTGGTAACTTATAATCTACTTTCTGTCTCCATGGATTTACCTATTCTAGACATTTCATACAAATGGAGTCACAGGCTATGTGGCCTTTTTTTTTTTTTTTTTCCCAGTTAGATGGGGGTCTCACTCTGTTGCCCAGGCTGGAGTGCCGTGGCCCAATCTCGGCTCACTGTAACCTCCACCTCCCAGGCTCAAGTGATTCTCCCATCTCAGCCTCCTGAGTAGCTGGGACTATAGTCACATGACTCCTCTAAATGAACTCCTGGCTAACTTTTGTATTTTTTGTAGAGGCAGGATTTCGTCATGTTGCCTAGGCTGGCCTCAAACTCCTGGACTCAAGTGATCTGCCCATCTTGGCCTCGTAAAGTGCTGGGATTACGGCTGTGAGCCACCATTCCTGGCCTTATTTTGTGTCCAGCTTCTCTCACTCAGCGCCACGTTTCCAAGGCTCACCTACGTTCTAGCCTGGATCCGAGCTTCATTCCGTTTTATGGCTGCGTAGTATTCCACTGCATGGGTGGAGCACGTTTTCTTTATCCAGTCATCGGTAATGGACATGCGGGCTGTTGCACAGAAGGATCCTTTTTATTTTCTCCCTAGCTTTGCTGAGGCATCATTGACAAATAGAAATTACATCTATTTAAGGTTACATGATATTTTGATATCCATTATGTGTTGTGAAGTGATTACCACAACCAAGCTAACAACACATCCAACACCTCACCTAGACACCTTTCTGGTGTGTGTGGTGAGAACACTTGAGTCTAATTCCTCAGCAAGTTTCAAGAAAACAGTATGCTATAATAATTATTATTATTTTGAGACGGAGTCTCGCTCTGTCACCCATGCTGGAGTGCAGTGGCGCAATCTTGGCTCACTGCAACTTCTCCCTCCCAGTTCAAGCAATTCTCGTGCCTCAGCCTCCTAAGTGGCCGGGGCTACGGGTGGGCACCACCGTGCCTGGTTAATTTTTGTATTTTTAGTAGAGATGGAGTCTCATGTTGCCCAGGCTGGTCTCAAACTCTTGAGCTCAAGCAATCTGCCTGCCTCGGCCTCCCAAAGTGCTGCGATTATAGGTATGAGCCGCCACACCTGGCCTGCTATTATTAATTATAGTCACCATGCTGTACCTTAGGTCTCTGGAACTTTTTTCTTTTAGAGATGAGGTCTTGCTCTGTTGCCCAGGCTGGAGTGCAGTGGCACCATCAAAGCTCACTGTAGCCTCGAACTCCTGGGCTCAAGAGATCCTCCCACCTCAGCCTTCCGTGTAGCTGGAATTACAGGTGTGTGCCACCATGCTTGGCTGATTTTAAATTTTTTTGTGGAGACAGGGTCTTGCTATGTTGTTCAGGCTGGCCTTGCACTCCTGGCGTCAAGCGATGCTCCCGCCTTGGCCTCCCAAAGTGCTGGGATTACAGGCACAAGCCATTCTGCCTGGTTAAAACGTGTTTATCTGAAAGCTGAAAGCTTGTACCCTTTGACCTACATCCCCCGCCTTCCCCTGTGCCCTCACCACCATAACCACTGCTCTACTCTGCTTCTACGAGTTCAATTCTTTTTTAGATTCCACAGATAAGTGAGGTCATGCACTATTTGTCTTTCTGTGTCTGGCTTATTTCACTTAGCATAATGTCCTCCAGGTTCATCCATTCCAGAGGGGTGTTTTAAAAGACAATCTTGGCCGGGCGCAGTGGCTCACGCCTGTAATCCCAGCACTTTGGGAGGCCGAGGAGGGCAGATCACCTGAGGTCAGGAGTTCAAGACCAGCCTGGCCAACATGGTGAAACCCCATCTCTATTAAAAATACAAAAATTAGCCAGGTGTGATGGCGGGGACCTGTAATCTCAGCTACTCGGGAGGCTGAGGTAGGAGAATTGCTTGAACCTGGGAGGCAGAGGTTGCGGTGAGCCAAGATCACGCCACCGACTCTAGCCTGGCCGACAGAGCAAGACTCCGTCTCAAAACAAAAACAAAAACAAAAGACAATGTTGAGTGGTGGGTCTTCTGCTTTAACCCCTCCAACACCTCTGACTCCCGCCTTGTCTCCCTCCAGCCATGCGGGTTCCCACCCTCCAGCCTCAGCCTGTCCCCATCTGTGTCCCTCAGACTCAGAGGTGTCCTCCCCAGAGACGCAGACATGGGCCTCTGCCACCCTGTATTACAGTGCCCTGCAGTCACCGCCTGCCTGTGCATCCCTTGCCATGCTGTGACCTCTTGTGTCTCTGTTTTCTTCTTGGTAAAACGGGGATACCTCAGAGGGCAGCTGTGCAACAGGACAAATTCACACACGAGACACTCGGGATGCTCCTGGCACACAGACAGGGTGAAGCATCCCTTGTCCCCATTGTCACCTTCTCTATTAGCTCGGGCTGCCATAACAAAGTGCCATAGACTGCGCGGCTTACACAGCAGAAATTTACTTCCTCCTAGTTCTGGAGGCCAGAAGGCCAAGATCAAGGTGCCAGCGAATTCAGTTTCTGTGGAAATTCTCTTCCGCCTTCTCACTATATCCTCACAGGGCCTCTTCTCTAGACATGCATAAAGGGAGACAGATCCCTGCTGTCTCTCTCTTTTTTTTTTTTTTTCTGAGACAAGGTCTGGCTCTCTTGCTCAGGCTGGAGTGCAGTGGCACAATCCCGGCTCATTGCAGTCTCAACCTCCCAGGCTCATGGGATCCTCCCGCCTCAGCCTCCTGAGTAGCTGGGGCTACAGGTGCGTGCTCCTGTGCCCAGCTACTTTTTCGATTTTTTTTGTAGAGATGGGGTCTCGCTATGTCGCCCAGGCTGGTCTTGAGCTCCTGGCCTCAAGCGATCTTCCTGCCTTGGCCTCCCAAAGTGCTGGGATTACAGGCATGAGCCACAAGCGCCGGCCTCTCTCTTCTTATTGGGATACCAGTCCTCTGAGAGTAGGGGGCCCCACCCTTAAGATCTCATTTAACCTTAACTACCTCCCTCAAGGGCCTACCTCCAAATACACTCACGCTGGGAGTCAGGGCTTCAACCTCTGCATTTGGGAGGGAGGTGGGAAGATACAATTTAGTCCATAACCTCATCCATCCCATCCCTGCTCCATACTTTTACTTGACCACTCCTAGAGTTCCTTTATTTTATTTTATTTATTTATTTATTTTTTGAGACGGAGTTTCACTCTGTCGCTCAGGCTGGAGTGCAGTGGCGCGATCTCGGCTCACTGCAACCTCCACCTCCCAGGTTCAAGCAATTCTCCTGCCTCAGCCTCCTGAGTAGCTAGGATTACAGTCACACGCCACCACGCCTGCCTAATTTTTGTATTTTTAGTAGAGATGACGTTTTGCCATGTTGGTCAGGCTGGTCTTGAACTCCCAACCTCAGGTGATCCACCTGCCTTGGTCTCCCAAAGTGTTGGGATTACAGGCGTGAGCCACTGCTCCCGGCCTTTTCTTTGTTTTGTTTTGAGACGGAGTCTTGCTCTGTCGCCCAGGCTGGAATGCATTGGCGTGATCTTGGCTCACTGCAACCTCCGCCTCAAGTGATTCAAGAACCTCGAGTGATTCTCCTGCCTCAGCCTCCTGAGTAGCTGAGATTACAGTCACAGGCCACCACACCTGGCTAATTTTCGTATTTTTAGTAGAGACGGGGTTTCGCCATATTGGTCAGGCTGCTCTCGAACTCCCAACCTCAGATGATCCACGCGCCTCGGCCTCCCAAAGTGCTGAGATTACAGGCGTGAGCCACCGTGCCCAGCCTTCTAGATTTTCTTTCTACTCCCAGAAGAATGGAAACTCCTGAGGCTGGAACTTGGTTTCCCCGACTCCTGTCTCCTGGTTCCCTGAACACACAGTGGGTCCCCAAGCAAAAACTTACTGAAGACAGGGGAGTGACTAAGGACGGCAGTGAGGATAGCTGGAGATGGGGCGTCTGCCCTGTGACCTGGGGGACCACGCCTGACCCCCACAGGCAGGGTGCCATTGCCTTAGGGGTACAGACAGAGTTCCCCAGGAGCACGACGCCCTCTCCCCAGAGTGGCTCCCCTAGGAAGCTCCAGACACCCCCAGGAACCAGCCTCAGCTTGGCAGGTGGTGGGTGTCCCCCGGGAGACCCAGGCCTGACCATCCCTGAGGCCTCTGGAGGGGGAGGATTGAAATATGGCCCCCCGCCCCCACCGCCAAAAAAAAAAAAAAAAAAAAAACTCAGGCTGGGCACAGTGCACAGTGGCTCACACCTACAACCCCAGTACTTTGGGAGGCCAAGGTGGGAGGATCACTTGAGCCCTGGAGTTTGAGACCAGCCTGAGCAACATAGTGAGACCCCATCTCCACAAAAAACACAAAAATTAGCCGAGCACGGTGGCACGTGCCTATAGTCCCAGCTACTGGGAAGGCTGAAGGGGGAGGGTTGCTTGAGCCCAGGAGGTTGAGGCTGCAGTGAGCTCTGATTGCACCATTGCATTCTAGCCTGGGCAAGAGAGTGGGACCCCATGTCAAAAATACAAAAGATATGTTGAAGTCCCAACTCCTGATAACTCAAATGTGACTGTGTTGGGAACATCTGGAGTCCTTACAGAGATAATCAAGTTAAAATGAGGTCATTAGTGTGGGTCCTAATCCAACAACTGACGCCCTTATACAAAGGAGAAACCTGGACACAGACATGCACAGAAGACCATGTGACCATGAAGGCAGAGATCAGAGTGATGCTTCTAGAAGCCAGGGAAGATTGCCAGTTAATGACCAAAAGAAGCCAGGAGACAGGCCTGCAACGGATTCTGCCTGAAGGCTCCCAGAAGGAACCAACCCTGACAACACCTTGATCTTGGACTTCCAACCTCCAGAGCTGGGAGGCGACACAATTCTGTTGTTGGCTGCAGTGGCTCACGCCTGTAATCCCAGCACTTTGGGAGGCCAAGGCGGGAGAATTGCTTGAGCCCAGGAGTTTGAGACCAGCCTGGGCAACACAGTGAGACCCCAGCTCTACAAACAAATATAAAAAAGTAGCTGGGCATGATGGGATGCACCTGTAGTCCCAGCTGCTCGGGAGGCTGAGGCTGCAGTGACCTGTGATCGCACCAGTACACTTCAGCCTGGGCAATAGAGCAAGACCTCATCTCTGAAACATAAACAAAAAAACCAATAAAGTCTCTGTTGCTAAAGCTGTCCCGTCTGTGGTAATTTGTTGTGGGAGCCTAGGAAATTCATATAGGGAGTCAGGACACAAAGAGAGTGAGGAGGGAGGCAGAGATGGGGGCAAGGGCCTGAGCCACAGAACTTTAAAGAAACCATTTACAGGAAACAGCAAACGACAGGGTGAGCATCTAGCTGGGCTCTCCAGCAAGGAACCACCTGAGATGCCTGGGACAGTGACGGACAGCTCCAAGTGCCAGCCCGAGCAGCTTCCACGTGTAACTCATGTAATCCTAATAACCATTTAGGAAGGAGAGATGCTTGTACCCACAGTTTACAGAGGAGGAAAGTGAGGTCCTGTCATTGAAGAGATATACCCAGGGACACTCAACTGGTAAGGGGGCTTGAACCCAGGGAGGGCTGGCTCCCCAGGTTGGGCTTGGTGAGCTGTGGGGGGATCCTGGGGGGCCAGAAGAGCCCCCACCCCCGGGCCCACACTGTATTTGAGTGTCTATGCAACCTCAGAGCTGGTCACGCCTGGACGTTCTACACCTGGGAAGCCAGGTGAGCCCACACCTGTGTCCGTCCCCACCTTGCACCTCAGTAGTCTCTGGTCACCTTATTTGTCTTTCTTTTTTCTTTCCTTCTTTCTTCTCTTTTTTTTTTTTTTCCTTTGAGACAGCAGGATCTTGCTGTGTCGCCCAGGCTGGAGTGCAATGGTGCACTCTCAGCTCACTGCAGCCTCATCCTCCCAGGCTCAAGTGATCCTCCCAGCTCAGCCTCCCGAGTAGCTGGGACTACAGGCACACAAAACCATGCCCGGCTAATTTTTGTGTTTTTTGTAGAGATGAGGTTTCACCATGTTGCCCAGGCTGGTCTTGAATTCCTGGGCTCAAGCGATCCTCCCGCCTCAGCCTCCCAAAGTGCTGGGATTACAGGTGTACCCAGGAATCCATTGCACCCAGCCATAGGCGACCCTATCTCACCCATGGGAAACGGGGCTGCACACCTGCCTGTATGTTCGCATCTAAGCCCTGCGTCTGTCTCAAGTCAAGGGTCGGTGCGGCAGGGTGGGCCACTGAGGCCCAGACTCTGTCCTCGGGTGCCCTGTGATGGGGATGGGGAGAGCAACAGGAGGAGAAGCGGCTGCTGGGGGAGAGGGGGCGCCTCTAGCCTGCCCTAGCCTGCAGTTGCCATGGCAACCCTCTGCGTGCTCGAGTGGGTGGGAGTCTGAGTGCCTTGGGTGGGGGGTGGGGGAACCAAGGTGGGGATCTGGGATCTGGGCCCCCTTCATGGTCTCCTCCCTTCCTGGCAGCAGCCGGCCCCTCCACACACAGCCCTCTGGCTGCATCTCCTGCCTCCTGCCCACTCCCCAAACCCAGCCGCCCATGAGCCCGCCTCCTTCAGGAAGCCCTCAGGCATCCGGCAGGTCCATAAGGAAGCCGCAGGCCCTGGGGTGACTATGAAGGATCAGCTGAGAGTTGAAGCCCCTGAATTTCAATCTGCTGTGTAGCTTCAGAGCAAGCACTTGGCCTCTCTGAACCTATTTCCCCATTGCTGCTCAGGGACTAACAGACCTACCTCGCAGAGACAGAGCACGTGCCCAGAGAGGGCCCAGGTACATGATCCTCGGGCAGGGCAGGGTTCTCACAGCATCTCCAGTCCCTGCCCCATCCTCCAGCTCAGTGGATGGCAGCCCAGTCCCTCCAGGGGCTCAGGAACCGGACAGTCATCCTGGATCCCTCTCCCCTCACATCACATCCAGCCCCGTCAGGTCCTGTGGCTACTCCTTCAGAGTCCACTCACCTCTCGCCACTCCTCAGCTTCTCTGGTCCAGCCCCATCATCTCCTGGCTGGACCCCACTTCCCCACCTCACTGTCTACACCTCGTCTCCCTATCTATCTGCCACCCCTGTCCCATCCAATCTCTACCTCGAGGCGAGAACAATCTTTGCAAAATGAAACTGTCTACAGTATGTTTCCCCCAGGGCCACCAGAGGGCGCGTGTGAGCATCTAAGTCAGCCGCTTCCCTCCTCTGCTCAGAACCCTCCGTGGCTCCCACCTCACTCGACCAAAAGCCAAAGTCTGTATCATACAAAGGCTCTGCACTGGGCCGGATGTGGCGGCGCACACCTGTAATCCCAGCACTTCAGGAGGCTGAAGAGGGCTGATTGCTTGGGCTCAGAAGTTCCAGACCAGCCTGGGGAACATAGTGAAACCTTGTCTCTGCCAAAAATACAAAAAGTTAGCCAGGCATAGTGGCACACGCCTGTGATCCCAGCTCCTCGGGAGGCTTAGGTGGGAGGATCTCTTGAGCCCGGGTGGTGGAGGTTGCAGTGAGCTGAGATTATGCCACTGCACTCTAGCTTGGGCAACAGAGCAAGACCCCATCTCAAAAACAAAAAACAAACAAGCCCTGTACAATGTGAAACACCAGGCACTGTTCTGCCTTAGGGCCTCTTCACGGGCTGTTTCTCTCTTCCCCAGATCCCCTCACAGCTCCTCCTGCATCTTCCTTTTGGTCTTTCCTCAAACATCACTAGTTCAGCAAGGTCCTGCTGGCCCCCACACTCCTACACCATGTCCTGACTTGATTTCTCCATACCTATCACCAGCACGCCATGCATTTTATTTGCTTATGAACTCTCTGCTACTAGATGCTGGCTCTGCAGGGTGGGGTTTGCATACTACACTCAGCACAGCGCCTGGCACAAGCAGGAAGCTGAAATATAATTGTTCAACGAAGAACCTTTTAAAGGTCACCCTGGAGCTGGGCACAGTGGCTCATGCCTGTAATCCTAGCACTTTGGGAGACCAATGCAGAATTGCTTGTGTCCAGGAGTTTGAGACCAGCCTGGGCAACACAGTGAGATCCTGTCTCTACAAAAATTTAAAAATTAGCCAGGCATGGTGGCACACACCTGTGGTCCTGGCTACTCGGGAGGCTGAGGCAGCAGGGTCATTCAAGCCCAAAAAGTCAAGGCTGCAGTGAGCTATGATCATGCCACTGCACTCCAGCCTGGGTGACAAAACAAGACTCCGTCTCTAAATAAAATAAAATAAAGGTCACCCCGGCCACCAAGCAGCACTGGACTGCAGAGGGGTAGGGGTCGTTCAAAAAATTCCCTGCCCCCGCCCCCAACACCTTCTCCCTCATCTCCCCATCTATCTGCCACCCCGTCCCATCCAGTCTCTACCCTGAGGTCAGAACGATCTTTGCAAAATGGAAATCCAATTACACCCCTCCCTGCCTACAACCCTCCATGGCTCCCTATTGCCTGTGATGCTCTAACATGGCATCTCAGGCCCTGCTGTCCTGCCACCTTCCCATCACTTCTACTCAGCGTCTGTCTCTCTCTCACACACAGTTCCTTATTCTGCTCTCCCTCCAAAGGGCTCTGCCCAGAGGACAGCATTCGTATCTCTCATATCCACTCTCACAGCACACAGGGTCTCTGTGTTTTGCTCCCCTAACTGGACTTGGGCTCAGCTGTTAAATGTCTGTCTTCCCCACCATCGAGGGACTCTGACGGGAAAGTACCATTGTGGGTTGGGCTGGCTCTTGTTGCATACCCAACCCTGGGCAAGGAGTGGATGCTTATTCATTTGTTTAATGAATGAAGATGAAATAGACCCAAAAAGCAGATCATCTATTCAGTGGATGTTTACCGAGTTCCCAACTGGTCACAAGTGCAATGGAGGAAGGTGTGCTTGACAGGGGGTATACATGTAGGTGCAACTGTAGACAGGGTGGCCAGGAAATGCCTCCCCTAAAAAGTGACATTTCGGCAGAGGTCTTGAGGAGGTGAGCCATCTAGGTACCTGTGCAAAGAGCATTCTGGGCAGAGGAAACAGCACGTGCAAAGGTCCTGGGGTAGGAATGTGCTGAGATGTGGCTGGGGCCCTGCAAGCAAGGGGAAGAGTGGAAGGAGGTGAGGGCGGCTGGGGAGGGGGGTCACAGAGGCCATACAGGGCCTTGTGGACCTCAGGGAGGACTTTGGCTTTCTAGAGAGGTGGGAGCCATCGGGAATCCTGAACAGAGGGATGGGATCTGGCTCGGGTGTTCACAGGTGTCCTCTGGCCGCAGAGGTGGAGATCAGACTGTGTGTGGGGAGGGTTGCTGGGAGTGGAGGGTACTCTCTACCCCACCTGTCCCTTGCCTTTTGTCCACAGGGCTGTCAAAGCCAGAAACCTGAAGCTTCCACCAAGCACTGGCTGCTTCTGGCCCCCACCTTGCTGGTTGCCTCCTGGCCTCCCTTCTGGCCTCCTGGCCTCCCTTCCTGCCAACTATGGCTCTCTCCCACGTAGCAGCTAGAGGGAGCTCATGCTAAACATTCTCACCCTGCCATCTGGATCCTGACGCAAACCCCCTACCTCTACCCCCACCCCTGCCACAGGCCCTGGCAGCCCCACAGTCACAAGTCCAGCCAGCAGCCTCCAGCTTCTCTCCACATGCAGTTGTGAAACATTTCTCCTTCCTCCCCTTTGAGCCACCATCTTCTGTCTGACCTCAGGGCAGCCCCTCTCTCTCACAGATGCTCCTTCCCCTCCACCATACCCCTCCTCCCCCTCCAGGTTGCAGCTGGGAAGCCCCCTCCTCCGGGAAGCCTTCCCTGACTTGCAACTCTGTTGCGCTCACCATCATGGCACGTCCACACCACAGTGGCCTGTGGTCTGTTTCCACTCCAAAGTGTTCACTGTCCAGCCCCAACCTTTGCACTCTGAGCTCAGCAGAGCAGAGCTGAAAAGAGTTCTAGAAGCTAGGGCCCGAGCAGAGGGCACAGAGGCGGGATCCCCCTGCCTCATCAGATGCTGGCAGGTAAGGGGCAGGGTAAGACCAGGAGACAGGGGCATGGTGCCTAGCAGGGCAGGAGAGAAGAGGCCTCCGGCATAGCGCCCTTAAGTTGCAGGTTCAAATCCAGGCTGTGCGCCGTCATGTCAGCACGACAGGACACCCACGTCACTCCTCTCAATTCTGTCTCTCCACGGGGGAGCTGGGGAACGAGAGCCTCCCAGGGTGGCTGTGGGGGTTAGAAATAATTTTCGGCAATTCCACACATCTTTTTTGGAGCATCTTCTATGTGCCAGACACTGAGGGGCTGGGTACAAAAAAGTCGATTCTATAGCGTACCAGTGTTGTGAAAGAAGATAAAGCCAGGAAAAGTGGCTATGAGTGTGTGTGGGTTTGGGAGTGTGTGTGTTTTTTTTTTTAATCGTATTTTTAGAGACAGGGTCTTACTCTGTTGCCCAGGTTGGAGTGCAGTGGTGGGATCATAGCTCACCACAGCCTCTGAGCTCAAGGGATCCTCCTGCCTCAGCCTCCCAAGTAGCTGGGACCACAGGGCGTGTGCCACCGTGCCCAGCTAATTTTTAATTTTTTTGTAGAAATGGGGGCCTCGTTATGTTTCCCAGGCTGGTCTCAAACTCAAGCGATCCTCCCGCCTCATCCTCCCAAAGTGCTGGGATTACAGGCACGAGCTACTGTGCCCGGCTGTTGCAATTTTATTTTATTTTATTTATTTATTTGAGACAGAGTCTTGCTCTGTCATCCAGGCTGGAGTGCAATGGCGTGATCTTGGCTCACTGCAACCTCTGCCTCCCAGGTTCAAGCGATTCTCCTGACTCAGACTCCTGATTAGCTGGGACTACAGGCACTCACCACCACACCCAGCTAATTTTTGTATTTTTAGTAGAGACAGGGTTTCACCATGTTGGTCAGGCTGGTCTCGATCTCCTGATCTCAGGTGATCCACCCACCTCGGCCTTCCAAAGTGCTGGGATTACAGGCATGAGCCACTGTGCCCGGCTGTTGCAATTTTCAACAGGATGATCAGGAAAGGCCATCTCCCCTGGAGAAGATGACATTTCAGCAAACCCCTGTGAATTTGAGAGAGGAGCACGCAGGTGTTCAGTTCAGGAGAGTTAGAAGAGCATCCTGGGCAGGGTCACAGCCCGTGCAAAGGCCCTGGGGCTGGACCGTGCCTATATGTTTGAATAACGGTGGCAGCTGCATCGAGGAAGCGGGTTGTGAGCTGGTGAGGAGAGTGGGAGGAGGTGAGAGCAGGGAGGTGCCGGGAACAGACTGTGCAGGACTCGCCTTGTACTTTAAACACACAACTGCTCCCCAAATGGGGCCGCCCCTCTGCCCAGCCTTCACTCCCAGAAGCCACTAGGGGGCGTTCTGGGGCAGGGTCGGCCAACCATGGTCAGGCCCCCGCCTGCCTTTGTACAGCTGGTGAGCTAAGAATGGTGTTTACATTTTTAAAGGACTGAAGAGAAGAAGAGAAAAGAGAACAGGCCACAGAACCCGTCTGCGGCCCGCAAAGCTTGCAGGATTTACCATCGGGCTTTCTACAGAAAAGTCAGCCAACCTCTACTCTATTTTATTTACGTATATATTTTTTTGAGACAGGGTCTTGCTCTGTTGCCCAGGCTGGAATGCAGTGGCGCGATCACAGCTCACTGCAGCCTTGACCTCCCAGCTCAAGTGATCCTCCTGCCTCAGCCTCCCGGGTAGCTGGGACGACAGGCGTGCGGCACCATGCCCAACTAATTTTTAAATTTTGTATTCTGTAAAGAAGGGGGTCTCGCTTTGTCGCCCAGGCTGGTCTTGAACTCCTGGACTCAAGTGATCCTCCTGCCTCAGCCTCCCAAAGTGCTGGGATTACAGGCGTGGGCCACTTTTTCCCACTGGCAACCTCTACTCTACAGCCATCACTGCCAACCCAGGACAATTCTGCCCCTGATCCCAGTATGTTTAGCAATGTCTGGAGACTTTCTGAGGTGTTACGACTGTGGGGCTGGAGGTGTCACTGACATCCATCGGGAAGAGGCTAGGGTGGCCTCTGAGCATCCTATAGTACAGAGGACAGCCTCCCACAGAGAATGATGCAGTGCCGAAGTCAGGAGTAATGGAAATCGTCTAGGAAATCCTGTCTGGGAAAGCCAGCCCCGGACCCCTCACCTCCTCAAGGGATAAGAAGGAGAATCCATCTGGCTTCCTGACCTGATCATTTGTGACCTGCAGGGTATTTTTAGCCTCTGAGGGAGGGGCACTGGCTATTCTGAGTTTTTTTGTTTTTTTTTTTTGGCGGGGTGGGGGGGGGCAAGGTTATTTTTGGCCTGGGCATCTATTTATTGAATTTTTATCTCCCCCCAAATTTTGGAACAGGAGACAGTGAAGGCAGGGGCATTTTTTTTTTTTTTTAAGAGTCAGGATCCTGCTTCGTCGCCCAGGCTGGAGTGCACTTGTGCAATCATAGCTCACTGCAGCCTCAAACCTCTGGGCTCAAGCCATCCTCCCACCTCAGCCTCCTGAGCAGCTGAGACTACAGGTACATATTCACGATGCCCAACTATTAAAAAAAAAATTTTAGAAACGAGTCTTGCTATGTTGCCCAGGCTGATCTCAAATTCTTGTCCTCAAGCAATCCTCCCACCTCGGCTTCCCAACATTCTGGGTTTACAGGTGTGAGTCACCACACCTGGGTCAGGTAAGACTTCTTGAACGCACACTGTGGGCCAGTGATGACTGTTGACACCTGGGATTCCCAAAGCAAAGCAAATCACAACATCCTCGCGCGCTTGGATCCTCCTCACAGACACAGACAGTAAACAAACAAGCGCAGAACATCAGGAAATTACAGACTATGTGAAAAGCCGTCCGCTGTACTGAACATCAGGAGGGGTGTGGGAAGCTGAGACTTTGCAGAAGGTGCCTGGGAGTAAACGTTACTGGGGAGGTGATATTTCAAGAGGGTGGGGGAGAAAAAGCCTCGAAAATATCTGGGGAAGGGTCCTCCGTGGCAGAACAGCCAGTGCAAACGCCCCGGGGTAGGATCACACTTAGCACACTGGACGAGCAACGAGGAGGGAGGAGATGGCCCAGAAAGACCATGAAGGGCCAGACCCCAGGACAGTCCAAGCCTGTGGGCTACTGCAGTCAGAGTTTGGGGCTACCCTCGAAAAGAAGACACACATGCCTTCTCCCCAACTCACATGACAGGAGAGTTTTGCTTTTTTGTTTTGGGTTTTTTTTTTTTATTGAGAATGAGTCTCGCTCTGTCGCCCACGCTGGAGTGCAGTGGCACAATCTCGGCTCGCTGCAACCTCCGCCTCCTGGATTCAAGCAATCCTCCCGCCTCAGCCTCCCTGGTAGCTGGGACTACAGGTGCACACCACCACGCCTGGCTAATTTCTGTACTTGTAGTAGAGATGGGGTTTCACCATGTTGGCCAGGCTGGTCTCGAGCCCCTGACCTCAGGTGATCCACCCGCCTCAGCCTCCCAAAGTGCTGGGATTACAGGTATGAGCCACCACGCCCAGCTGATAGGAGAGCTTTGATGGAAACCCCATATGTGTTGCTAGAGTGTGAGCTCCATGAGGACAGGACATGGCCACCACCCCCCATGGCGCCCCCTGCATGGTGCTGGGTGGGGAGGCAAGTGTGTGCAGATTGCATGACAAGGTGCACCCAGCCTTGCTCCAAGAAGTCCTGAGCACACAACTGCAGGTGCACAAAAGATGCAGACAGCCCCATGTGTGCACACAGACAGCTACTCCTTCTTGCAGCCCTGCCTCCCCCAGCATGACCACCCCCTCTGCAAAACACAAACACCAGCACAGGAGGGACCTTTATGAACACCGGATGAGTCTGATGGTCACGTGGCCACATGCACCCTTGGCTAGATCACCATCCAGGCCACACAGGCAGAGGACACCTATGCACAGGTGCAGACAGACAGACAGACATCTGGATTCTGGGGACACCGGGACCCCCTCCATGTTTCTACTTGGCCTCCCACCTCACTCCAGGACCCGTCTCTCCCCTTCCATCAGGGTGCCCAATAGCAACCACTTTGCCCCAAACCCAGCCTGGGAGGAGCTGTCTGTCTTGCCACGGCACCTTCAGGGTCACTGGGGTCAGGGTTTCAGACCCAGGGAACCCCCGCCTCAGGAGCCCCTCCCCCTGCCTCCCCACAGAGGGGCTGGAGGAGGGGAAGTGTCTGGCATCTGGAAATCAGATCCGTGAGAGGAACCCACACAGAAACGAGAGCCTTGTGTGTCCTTGGCCACATGTCTCGCCAGGGAGAAAGGAGGGGGTGGAGGGCAAAGACGATGCTCTGGCGGGGATGGCAGTGCTCCCACTCCTCCCGTTCCTCTTGAGGGGCACCCACTGCCACCCTCCCCACCGAGATGCCTGCGCTGGGGCTGAAGCAACACATGCTCTGCCACCAGCCTGGCAGGGTAGGGAGGACGCAGACGCCCCGAGATGCAAGCGTCACACAGCCTCACATGCAGGTGGAGAGGCCACCCGCCAGGAGCCCAAACTGCTGGATGCAAACACACTCCCGTGCAGCTGAGGCGCCTGTAGGCTCCTCCCCAACGTGCCCACAGGGTCCTCCAAGGCCCCCCAGGAGAAAGGGCTCCCCTGGGCAGGCTGGGAATAGAAGCTGGGCTTCGAGTCCCCCCCTTCCACCCCCTCCCTGCAGGCTCCACAGCCCAGGTGTGCTGGTCCCCAGCTCCCCATCCTCCCCAAGCCTGGGCGCCAGCTACACCCCCAAGAGCAGGAATCAGCGTGGGTGATCACGGGGTACGCAAGCGCCCAGAAGTGGGGATTGAGATGGGCGCCCCTTGGAGAGAAAGAGGGCCTGCAGGGGTGTCCCAGAGCAGATGCCACACACACATGGGGTGGACCGAGCGGGGCCATGAGGGAGGTCACCAAGCTGGGTAGGAAGATGGTGGCAAGACCAGCAGGAGGGCCGGGACCCACATGTGAGCGCACACGTATGTCGCACACGTATGTGGCTCCGTGCACGGGTGCGATCGCTGCCAGCCATGGAATTAGTTCCCTTTTCCGAATTCCAGATGATTTTTCATCTCTGTAATTAATGGGCAAGTCAGTTCTGAACGGCATGGCAGACAAATTGCTAGTTAGGAAAATCACGGATAATTTTCTCGATATGATAATGAAGGTTGTAATCCTTCTCTTATTCTCCCTGTTTTCATCCTACTTTTAAGTAATAAATTTGGCATTAGTGGGAGGGGAGCAGGGAGGAAGGAGAAGTCACCTGCCCCCCAAAGCTGGGGCCTGACAGGGACCCACGCAGAGTCCCCTGCCGGGGGCAGACAGGAGAAGAGAATGAGGGGTGTGGACCCTCCGTGGGGTTGATCAATTCAGGGGGCCAGGCCCTGGAGAGCAGGTGGAGGGCACGGAGCTTTCAGGCTGTGAGCCAGGGTGAAGGAGTGGGGTCTGGGGTCAGGTTAGACTCATGCCAGCCCTTGGGGTGTTGGAGAGAGAAGCAGAAACCAATGGTCTGTCCCCAAACAGCATGGAGGTCAACGGCCCGGAATAGACATTCACCCTCAGGTGTGCCCCACTGGATCCGACCTCCTCTAAGCAGTGACTCCCTACCAGGATAAGGGAGCCGGGCAAGCAGAGAGGGGAAGAGAGAAAGACAGAGAGAGATAGAGAAAGACAGAGAGAGTGAGAGAGAGAGAGAGAGAGAGAGAGAGACAGACAGAGAGAGAGAGAGCGCGCGAGCCAGCCATCTTGGCAGCCATTTTGAACCCCTCCCCCTCCTGCCCCCAGGCACACATGTTGGGAAGTGGGATGTGGGAAGACAGACCCCAGCTCTGAGTCCGGTGGAAGCCAGGCGGAAGGGGGGGCCCTGCCTGGAACTGGGATACAGAAACACCCACGCAGCTGGCATGGCTGGGGGTGGATGGGGGTTGGAACAGGAAGAAAGGGTCCAGGCAGGTACAGTGAGGTGTTGGCCAGGGATGGGGCAGTGTGAGGACCCGGACTGGAAGTGTAGAGACAGGGGTGTGTGTAGCCAGCGGCTGTCTTCAGATGGGGGCCAGGGGTGCACTGGAGAGATACCTGGGAGGGCATTTTCTGGACACGGCTGGAGCAAACACAGCATCCCCCCACCCCACCACTTCAGGCCTGGACTCGGGTCCCAGGACCGTCAGATGGGAGGATGACAACCAAACCCTCGCAGCTCAATCCAATGCGCACCTGGGGTGGGGGTGGGGAGCTGTCCTCAAAGCACGAATAATCCGAGTGGATCAAACCTGCCGGCCTCCCGTGCTTTAACCCGGCACCACGGAGAGAAGGTGCTGCCCGGCTGCACCCCCTCCTCCTGACAGCGGCGCCCCCCGGACTGCGGCCGGCTGGACACCCAGACGGACCCCTCCCCATCCCCCGCGCCACTGCCTCCCAGAGAAAAACAACCCCCTCGCCCAGCATCCTGTGGTGCCAGCCCCCGACACGGCTCCTCTGGGGCGCGGGGCCGGCGCGCGGCGCGCACACGCACCCCCTCCGCTCACACCCAGACACCTACACAAACAGGGCGCCAAGCACCCGCGCGCACACGCACCGGGGACACGCAGGCACCGCCGCGCCGCTTCCCCACAAAGGCTGGCGCGCGCGCGGGCACACGCAGCCACGCGCGGGCACACTCGCGGTCCCCTCCCCCCGCCAGGCACCCTGCGGTAGCCCGTCCGCACCCCCGCGCCCCGGGCGCTCCGTGGGGGCCGCCCCTCCCAGGCCCCTCGCCAGTGGGGGTGAGGTGCGGGCTGCCCCCGACGCCCCTCCCGCTCAGGTGCGGTGCCCCGCGCGGCTCCCGTGTCCCCTCCCCCCTCGCGGCCAGGACAGGCCCCGGCCTCCCATCCTTCCCGCCTCCCCTCTTCCACGCGCCCCGCACACCTGGCCCAGGTGCGGCTTCGCCCCTCGCCCTGGGCCCGCAGACACTCACCTGTCCAGCGCCTCTCTGGGGTCGGCCCAGCGTGTCTCTCCTGCGGCTCGGCGAACCCGGGCCCCCCGCCCGGCACATCTCCCGGAGCCGGGGCTGGGGGGAAGCGGGTAGGAGGTGGCGGGACGAGGGCGGCCTCCGTGTCCCTTCCTTCCCCTGGCCCAGCACCGCCGCCGACCAAAAATTAGGAAAAAAAAAAAAAAAGAAAAGAAAAGAAAAAAAAGAGGCGGATTACACGGATCCAAAGGCGGCCCCCTCGCGGCGGCGGAGGCTCGGGACTGGGGGCGATCGGGTCTGCGCCCCTCCCGGGGAGGGAGGCGGTGGGGCGGGGGCGGCGTCAGAGCGCCGGGGGCTGGGGCGAGGCGGAGCGCCCCGAGGCGGCGCCGGCAGCGGCCCGCATCTCCCCCGCAGCTCCGCGGCCCCGACGGAGGCGGCACGTGTGCGCCCAGGCGACTTCCCAGCCCCCTCCGACGCCGGCGGTGGACGAGGGGTTAACGGGGCAGCCGGGGCGCCCCTGCAGGCCCCCGCCGCCCGGCGGCGCCGCTCCGGGGCCCGCGCGGCCCCATCAGCCGGGGCCTCCTCGGCAGACGGCGGGGCGGGGGCACCGCAGCGCCGACAGCTCCCGCGCCGACGGCTCGGGCTCCCCGCAGTGGCCGCGGGGAGCTCGGGTTGGGGGCGGGCGGCGCGGAGCTGGCGGAGGGGGGCGGCGCGGCTGGAGGCGGGTGCCGCGGCGTCGCGCCCCCGGTGCGGCCGGAGGGGGGGCGCCGGGCCGGGCCCGTGGGCACCGCAGGACGCGCGGACCGAGCCGGCGCCGGGCACCAGCAATGACAAGCCGCCTGCTCGCCCCGCTCCCCGGCGCACCCGCTCCGGGAGGGGGGCGGTGGGCGCGCGCAAAACCCGGCCCGGAGTCGCCGCCCGGGACTGGCCGCCGCAACCCGCTTGAGCGCCCCAGGAGCCGGCCCGAAAACCCGGGCTGGACTTTCCTTCCTTTCGCCTCCTCTCGCCTCCTCCCTGGAAAAGCAGGGAGAGGGAAAGCGACGTGCTGGAGCCCCGCGTTGGAGCGGGGAGTGGGGGAAGGGAGACAGGCGTAAGGAAGACCCGGAGCGGATTTTCCAGTGAAGTATAAGGAAAGGCGCCGAGCCCGGGGAAGGAGGGCGCAAATGGGGAGATCTGGAAGGGTTGTGCAAAACCCGAGTTGGATTAGATAAAGATGGGAGGAACGGTGTTGGAGCGGGGGGTTGGGGGGTAGATGCGACATGGCCAAATGCACCCGGGGCACGCAAATTTCGGGCCGGATTCTTTCTCGGGAGACGGAGTAATGCGTCAGGCCTAACGCAGTGGAAACAAGCAAGACCCGGCCCGGAACTCCCGGGACCTGGGTTCGCATGGTGGGGGGTTCTGGAAGGGGGATGCTTAGTGGCTGAGGCGACTTGGGCTGCCCTCATCTTCCTGGCAGCGACGTGCAAGGGGGACGGGCAAAAGGAGGACTGGACTCGGGTACGAAGGGATTTGGCGCGCTGGCTGCACCGGAGCGGACAGGTAAAAGCGGTTTCTGGATCCAGGGGCGCTGCGAAGGGAATGCGATGAGGCCGCTACCCTGGGAGACCAGACCTACAATAAAAGGCGAGGGAGGCACGCAAAGCCAGGACTGGAGCGCGGGACGGGATGAGACCCTCAGCAGAAGATCCTGGGCCACCGGGACAGGGGCTTGGAGCTGACCGGGCAGCAGGGGCGGAGGGAAGCGTTAGGGGGAGGTTTGTACCTGTAAACGCCTCAAAGTCTTGCTTTTGGGGAGGGGGTGCGAGGGGAAAAATTGAATTTTATGTTCTCTAAAAGAGTAAAAACCCGGCATGGATTTTCAACACCTAACAACTCCATTGCAGCTGGTGGACTCTAAGAAGTAGGGCAAGAAGCAGGCTTGGGTTCCCAGGCATCAGACCAAGTGAGGCGAGGGGCAGGTTTCGGGTTGAGGCTGCAGAGGGAGCCCCCGCACCCCCTCTCTGGGGTGGGGAAGGCTGTTGGACCCGGCTTGGCTCTCTGGAGAGCGAAAGTTATGACTGCCAAGACCTATAGCTGGGGCTATAAAACTGGGCCCCAAGCCAAAAATAGGCACTTCGGCAGAACAGGCAACTTTGTGCAGGGTGGGGGCTGGAGGGAAATGGAAGTGGGAAGAATCCTGGAGTGGAGGGAACAGGGGGGAGGGGGGGAGTCCCTGAAGCGGGGCTGCTGGCTCCATTTTATGAAAGATGGGAAGACTGATGGCTGGGGAGGGCTTGGAATCCTCAGGGAAGGGAATCCATTCAAGTGAGGCCCAAATGTTAAAGCAGACAGCTCAGAGTTCAAAGTTGGGCTGCATCTTAGCAGCAGGGCAGACAAACCCTGATCTGAGTTTTAGAGGAGGGGGACGGGCTGAGGATGGGGATGGGGGAAACCCCCATTCCCTATATGTCCAGGGAAGAGAGTGCATTGCTAACCATGCGCTTTGCAGAATGAATGAGGAAAGGGAAAAGGGTTCCTGAGTAGGAGTGGTAAATCCACAAAACTTGAGGCATATCTGGATGGGAAAAATGAGTATCTAAGAAAGCCTGAATTGAATATCTGCACGGGAATTAACTTGGCCTCTAAGAATCCCTTCCTAGAAGCACGTCCCTGTGGCTAAACTGGAGGAAGTGCAGGGACACCAGACTTCCAGGCTGCCCGGGTGACCACGCACCACTGCTGTGGCAGCCTGTCACCCTCCACCGCCTTCTACGGACAGCTGTCTCTTCACGACGGGGAAGGGATTCTTGAAAGCCAGAACCTAGGCAAATCTGGCCCCAGAGAACTTCAAAATGGAGGGATGGGTCACTTTCGTTCCTCCTTCATGCCCAGGATTTCATGGCTGCAAAGCTGTCCAGCCTTGAATCTGGGTGGCCAGGTTGGACACCGGGATCTGGGGGACCAAATATAAAGTAGGATTTGGTGAGTGCAAAACGGATCCCATCCATCTGTGGTTGACTGCAGATCCACTGGGTATGGAGGAGGGCATCCCATCTCTCTACGCCTCAATTTCCCAGTTTGAGATATTGACAGCACCAAGTAAGACCCATGAAGGCTTTGAGATGGAGGGCACTCCAGGCAGCCAGCTTTCTATAAACCCAGCAGTACCGAAAAGGGAACAGAACTTGACGCTCAGGAAAAGCTGGTCACCTCCTTGTTCTCCTGCTCCAGGCCTTTGTCCCCACCCCACCCTCCAGCCCTGAGCAGCCCACCCACTTCCCCCTACAGAGCTAGCCTAGGAGGTGGTTCTAACTTGCACTCTCCAGAGGCTACGAGAAGGAGTGGCCTTTACTTACATGAGGGAAAGCAACGACATTCTTTAAGGCACCCTCAGCTCAGTTTGGAAAACCCCAGCCGGAACCCCCCTCACCCCCGCCCCTCGCCCCTTTCTAGACCCTCTAAACCCCACTGGTCCCAGCTGGGATCGGCTCTCCAGCCTCCATCTGATCCATGTCTCCTGGACTTGTGAGCGGCGTGCTCAGGAGGCAAAGAGTGCGGAGGGGCTGGGGGGCGCGTAAAGAGCCCTGGCGCCCCTCAGGCCTTCGGCTGCGCAGCCGCAGTGGAGGCCGCGCCAGCAACCGGGCTCCGGGAACCAAGGCGTCCGCGCGCGCACGCAGACTCGCCCGCGCGCCGCGTGCCCCGCGCTGCCCAGGTCGGTACCCGCGCTTCGGACACCCTGCTCCCAGGGCGCTCCTCGCTTCCAGCCTCCCACTTTGCGCCTTGGGCTCCCCATGAGCCCCGCTCCTGAGACACCCCACGCTCTGTGTATTCCGTCCCACGGGACCTCCACGCCCACGGTGCCACGCGCCTCGAGTACCCCATGTTCTATGAACCCTGCACCTGGACGCCCCATCTTCTGCGCACCCTGTGCTAGAGAACCCGCACGCCCAGGGTGCCCTATGCCTAGGGCACCCTGTGCTCTCCTGCGTATCTGGGACTCCACATTTTGTACGCCTAGCACCTCCAGCATCCCAGCGTCAGACACAGCTGGGCTCGCCTGTGCCTTGTCTGTCCCCTCTCTGTGCCTTCCATGTATTGCGCCCACTGCCTCGGTTGGGCCCCCAGCCTCACAGTCCTGAAGGCTCTGCTTCACCCCAGTGCTCAGCTTCCCTTTGCCTCAGGCCCAGCGCCCTCGTTCCCGGGTGCCCTGCCTCAGGCTCCTGGACAGGTCAGGGCAACGCCAGACAGCCACTGTCCACCAGGCGCCCCCAGCCCCTGTTTTCCTAGAGCCCATTCGGTATAGGATGCACAACCCTGCTGTTCATTTCACTGCTCGGTGCACGTATTCATTCCTTCCATTTACGCCTCAAACACACAGCACGCACCTTATATGCTCTTACCTGTCAGGTGCAGTGTGATGCATTGAGAATGCGCCTCCAGTGCACAGGGAACAAGGCAGGGAGCCTTCTCTGGGCGCTCCCTTCATCATGGAGAAGATGGACTCAGAATGTGTGATGGAATGAGCCCTGGAAAGTCAGCAGGTGCCAGGGAGTGGAGGATGGACCTATCCAAGCCTTGAGGTGTGGGTGAAGTTTTGTGTGTCCCTGGCCTTTCCAGAGGCTCCCTGTACCCCCATCTTAGGCAACTTCTTTTATTTATTTATTTATATTTGTATTTATTTATTTATATTTGTATTTATTTATTTATTTTGAGGAGTCTCGCTCTGTTGCCCAGGATGGAGTGCAGTGGCACGATCTCTGCTCACTGCAACCTCCCTCTCCCGGGTTCAAGTGATTTCCGGCTAATTTTTGTATTTTTAGTAGGGACAGGGTTTCACCATGTTGGCTAGGCTGGTCTCGAACTCCTGACCTCAAGTGATCCGCCCACCTCGGCCTCCCAAAATGTTAGGATTACAGGCGTGAGCCACCGCGCTGCCCTCTTTATTTATTTTTAGAGACAGGGTCTCTCTCTGTCACCCAGGTTGGAGTGCAGTGATGAAATCATACCTCACTGCAGCTCACTGCACGAGCCACCACACCCAGCTAATTTTTGTTTTTTTTTTTTTCATAGCTTGCTATGTTGCCCAGACTGGTCTCAAACTCCCGGGCTCAAATGATCCTCCTTCCTAAGTCTCCCAGAGGGCTGGGATTACAGGTGTGAGCCATGGTGGCCGGCCAACCTTGGGCGATTTCTGAGCTCCATTCAGTTCCACCCCCACTGCCAAGCCAAGTGGAGGGCAAGATAAAGAGGTCCCAGAATTGGGCTAGGAGGATAGGTTGGGGGCAGGGAGTAATTCCAACTGTGTTCTTTTTTTTTTTTTTTTTGAGATGGAGTCCCACTCTGTCATCCAGGCTGGAGTGCAGTAGCATGATCTCGACTCACTGCAACTTCTGCCTCCCAGATTCAATTGATTCTCCTACCTCAGCCTCCCAAGTAGCTGGGATTACAGGCATGCGCCTCCATGCCAGGCTAATTTTTGATTTTTTTTTTTTTTTTTCAGTAGAAACGGTTTCACCATGTTGGCCAGGCTGGTCTTGAACTCCTGACCTCAAATGATCTGCCCACCTCAGCCTCCCAAAGTGCTGGGATTACAGAAATGAGCCACTGCACCCGGCCAGGTTTTTTTGTTGTTTGTTTTTTGTTTTGTTTTGTTTTGTTTTTTTGAGACGCAGTTGCCCAGGCTGGAGTGCAATGGTGTGATCTCAGCTTACCACAACCTCCACCTCCGGGGTTCAAGCCATTATCCTGCCTCAGCCTCCGGAGTAGCTGGGATTACAGGCACACACCACCACGCCTGGCTAATTTTGTATTTTTAGTAGAGACGGGGTTTCTCCGTGTTGGTCAGGCTGGTCTTGAACTCCCATCCTCAGGTGATCTGCCCACCTCAGTCTCCCAAAGTGCTGGGATTACAGGCGTGAGCCACCGCGCCCATCCTCAGGGGGTATATTTTGAAGGTGGAGCAGATGGATTGGAAGTGGGATACGAGGGAAAGAGGTAAGTCAAAATGTGTGAGCTGAGTGAGCCCCTGGAAGGATGGAGAGGATGGAGAGGAGGCAGTTTTGTAGGTTAGATCCAAGCCTTTGGTTTGATATGTCCAAGTGGAGGCATGAAGTTGGTGCCCGGGGAGAGGTTCAGGCTGGCCGAGAAATGGCTCAAATGAACACGAATGCTCTCATTTATACTTTATGGTAACTCTGTGGGTGGGGGACTTTCTCCCCATCTTATAGAAGGGGCAACGAAGGCTCCAGAACATGCCCAAGTAGTTAAAAAATGTAGTTATAGGCCGGGCGCAGTGGCTCACGTCTGTAATCCCATTACTTTGGGAGGCTGAGGTGGGCAGATCACCTGAGGTTGGGAGTTCGAGACCAGCCTGACAAACATGGAGAAACCCGGTCTGTACTAAAAATACAAAATTAGCCAGGCATGGTGGCACATGCCTGTAATCCCAGCTACTTGGGAGGCTGAGGCAGGAGAATCGCTTGAATCCGGGAGCTGGAGGTTGTGGTGAGCCGAGATCGCACCACTGCAATCCAGCCTGGAGACAGAGCAAGACTCAGTCTAAAAAAAAAAAAAAAAAAGAAAAAGTTAGGTTCTGAGCCGGGTCCCAGATTTGGGCTGGGAGGATAGGGTGGGGGCAGGGAATAATTCCAACCGTGGTCTTTTTCTTTTCTCACTCTGTTGTCCAGGCTGGAGTGTAGTGACTCAATCTCAGCTCACTGCAACCTCTGTTTCCTATGTTCAAGCAAGTCTCCTGCCTCAGCCTCCTGAGTAGCTGGGACGACAGGCATACACCACCATGCCTGGCTAATTTTGTATTTTTGTAGAGACAGGGTTTCACAATGTTGCCCAGGCTGTTCTCAAACTCCCAGGCTCAAGCGATCCTCCCGCCTCGGTCTCCCAAAATGCTAGCATTACAGGTGTGAGCCACTGCGCCTAGCTAGGCAGGACTATTTGAAAGGCACCAGGGCTAGGCTAGCATGGTGGGAGGCCAGGAGAGGGTCTAGATTATATTCCCAGTGATACTAGGAACCCCAAGAGGGCTTTCAGAAGTGGGTGGCATGATCTTATTTGGATGTTTAAAAGATTATAGGGCTGGGCTTGGTGGTGTGATCCTGTATCCTAGCTGAGGCAGGAGGATTCACGCACACAGGCTTGAGCCTAGGACTTCTGGGAGGTGGTGTGTGCCATGACCATCGGCGTCAATGTGGTGACCCCCCAAGAGCAGGGGACCACCAGGTTGCCTAAGGAAGAGTCAACTGGCCCAGGTTGGAAACAGAGCAGGTCAAAACTCCTGTGTTGATCAGTAGTGGAATCACGTCTGTGAATAGCCACTGCACTCCAGCCTGGGCAACAGGGTGAGAAAAGAAAAAGACCACAGTTGGAATTATTCCCCGCCCCCAACCTATCCTCTCTAAAACCTCCCAACCCTGTCTCTAAAACAAAACGTTAAAGTAAAAATAAATAAAATAGGCCAGGCACGGTGGCTCATGCCTGTAATCCCAGCACTTTGGGAGGCCGAGGCTGGTGGATCATGAGGTCAGGAGATCGAAACCATCCTGGCTAACACAGTGAAACCCCATCTCTACTAAAAATACAAAAAATTACCTGGGCGTGGTGGCGGGCACCTGTAGTCCCAGCTACTCGGGAGGCTGAGGCAGGAGAATAGTGTGAACGGGGGAGGCGGAGCTTTCAGTGAGCCAAGATCATGTCACTGCACTCCAACCTGGGCAACAGAGCGAGACTCTGTCTCAAAAAAACAAATCAATCAATAAAAATAAATAAATAAATAAAAGATTATATGAGTGCTCCCTCAATAACACAGAATTACTATATGAGGCAGGAAATGGGGAGTGACTGCTAACAGGTGTGAGTTTTCTTTAGGGGATGATGAAAAACGTCTTGGAACTAGACATGATGAATGTACTATGACATGACACGACATCGTCCACCTTAAAATGGTTGGTGGTTAATTTTTTGTTGTGGGAATTTCAGCTCAATTAAAAATGCTGGCCGACGGGCGCGGTGGCTCACGCCTGTAATCCCAGTACTTTGGGAGGCCGAGGTAGGTGGATCACGAGGTCAGGAGTTCAAGACCAGCTTGGCCAAGATGGTGAAACACCGTCTCCACTAAAACTATAAAAATTAGCCGGGCGTAGTGGCGGGCGCCTGCAATCCCAGCTACTCAGGAGGCTGAGGCAGGAGAATCGCTTGAACCCAGGAGGCAGAGGTTGCAGTGAGCCGAGATTGTGCCACTGCACTCCAACCTGGGCAACAGAGTGAGACTCTGCCTCAAAAAAAAAAAAAATGCTAGGGGCTGGGGCACGGTGTCTTACCCCTGTAATCCCAGCACTTTGGGAGGTAGAGGCTGGCAAATCACTTGAGGCCAGGAGTTTGAGACCAGCCTGGCCAACATGGAGAACCCCATCTCTACTAAAAATACAAAAAAAGTTGGGCGTGGTGGCACATGCCCGTAGTCCCAGCTACTCCAGAGGCTGAGGCAGGAGAATCACTTGAACCCAGGGGCAGAGTTTGCAGTGAGCTGAGATCGCACCACTGCAGTCCAGCCTGGGCAATAGAGTGAGATGCCAAAAAAAAAAAAAAAGGAAGGAAGGAAGATAAGAAGGGAGGAAGGAAGGAAGGAAAGAAAATGCTAGGAATGCTGGTGTGCTCTTGTAATCCCAGCTACCTGGGAGGCTGAAGTGGGAGGATCACTTGAGCCTGGGAGTTAGAGACTGCAGTGAGCTGTGACTGCAACACTGCACTCCAGCCTGGGTGACCGAGCGATACCCCTATCTCTTAAAATATATATATATATATAATTTATTGATTATTATTATATATTGTATATATTATATAATATTATATATTATAATATTATATATAATATTATCAAAAAATATTGATATAATATTATCAATAAATATCAATAAAATAATAATAATCAATATATATAATTGATTATATATATTATATATATTATATATATTATATATAATTGATATATATAATATATAATATATTATATATTATATAATATAATATATTATATATTATATAATATTATATATTATACATTATATAATATTATATATTATACATTATACATTATATATTATACATTATATAATATTATATATTATATATTATACATTATATAATATATATTATATTATATATTGTATAATATATATTATATTATATATTGTATAATATTATATATTATATTATACATTATACATTATATATTATACATTATATAATATTATATATTATATTATATATTGCATAATATTATATATCATATATTATATATATAATATATAATATTATATATTATATATTATATATATAATATTATATATTATATATATAATATATAATATTATATATTATATATATAATATTATATATTATATATATAATATTATATATTATATATTATATATTATATATTATAATATATATTATATATTATATATTATATATTATAATATATAATATTATATATTATATAATAATATATAATATTATATTTTATAATATATAATATTATATATTATAATATTATATATTATATATTATAATATTATATATTATAATATAATATATAATATATAATATATAATATATAATATATATTATATAATACATAATATAATATTATATATAATATATAATATTATATTATATAATATTATATATAATATATAATATATAATATATAATATTATATATTATAATATATAATATATAATATAATATATTATAATATATAATATATAATATAATATATTATAATATATAATATATAATATAATATATTATACAATATATAATATATAATATAATATATTATACAATATATAATATATAATATAATATATTATACAATATATAGTATAATATAATATATAATATAATATATTATACTATATATAGTATAATATATTATATAATATAATATATTATACTATATATAGTATAATATAATATATAATATAATATATTATACTATATATAGTATAATATAATATATAATATAATATACAATATATAGTATAATATAATATATATTATATAATGTATAATATATACTGTATAATATATAATATATAATGTATAATATATAATGTATAATATATATTATATAATGTATAATATATAATATATTGTATAATATATAATATATATTATATTATATATATCAATTATATATAATATATATAATATATATAATATATACAATCAATTATATATATATTGATTATTATTATTTTTTAATTATACAGGTCAGCCGGGCGCAGTGACTCATGCCTGTAATCCCAGCACTTTGGGAGGTCAAGGCGGGAGGATCGTTTGAGCCCAGGAGTTCGAGACCAGCCTGGGCAGCATAGCAAGACCTGGTCTCTAAATAAATAAATAAATAAATAAATAAATTATATAGTCAATTTGAGAGGGAGCCAGGAGATTCGCGAGGTGATCACCACTGTCATCCAGGTGACAGGCAGGTGATGGAGGCCCAGAACAGGATGCTGGGGGGAAACGTTAGGTTTTGGGCATGTCTTAGGGGCAGAGTCAACAGGACCCCTTACTTTGCACCCTCCTTGAACTCTGCTCATGTTACTTCCTGACCACTCTATTGAAAATGCAAAACACAGGACGGGGCGCGCTGGCTCACGCCTGTAATCCCAGCACTTTGGGAGGCCGAGGCGGGTAGATCACGAGGTCAGGAGCTCGAGACCATCCTGGCTAACACGGTGAAACCCCGTCTCTACTAAAAATACAAAAAATTAGCCAGGCGTGGTGGTGTGTGCCTGTAGTCCCAGCTACTAGGGAGGCTGAGGCAGGAGAATGGCGTGAACCCGGGAGGCGGAGCTTGCAGTGAGCAGAGATCACGCCACTGCACTCCAGCCTGAGCGACAGAGCGAGACTCCGTCTCAAAAAAAAAAAAAAAAAAAAGAAAAGAAAAGAAAATACAAAACACAAAAATTAGCTGGGTGTGGTGGCGCATGCCTGTAATCCCGGCTACTTAGGAGGCTGAGGCACAAGAGTCGCTTGAACCCGGGAGGTGGAGGTTGCAGTGAGCCGAGATCACACCTCTGCACTCCAGCCTGGGCGACAGAGCAAGACTCTGTCTCAAAAAAAAGAAAACTGCAAACACCCCCACCCTCCTCACTCCCTTGATCTCCTCTCCCCTTTATCTCTCTCCAGTCCCAGAGATGTGGGGGGGGGGGGGGTCTCGCTATGTTGTCCAGGCTGGTCTCGAACTCCTGGTCCCCACAGCATATCCTGACCTAGTTTCGTTTTCATTCATTTATCTGTCTCCCTCACTAGAATACCAACTCCCCAGTCCAGAGATGTTTGTTTCTTGTTCACTGCTGTCTACCCGGAGCCTAGGACCGATCCTGGAACATAGTAGGCGCTCAGGAGAAAGCGGGGGAGTGGAGGAAAGCGAGAATCCCGGAAGCCGCCGGGTTCCAGCCTGAGCAGCAGGCGGGCGTTTAAGTGGAGGCGGATTCCTAGTTAGGCACCAGCTGAAAGGGGAGCCCGGCTGGGCTGCGCTTCCTTCCCCGGCCGCTAGGGGCCGCTTCCCCGCTGCTCTGCGGCCGCCAGGTGAGGGGGCCCCGCCCCTTCTCCCCAGGTGCTCAGGGAGTTGGGGTGTGAGGGGACAAAGTGGGGGTGAAGGGAGAGAGCTGAGCGTGTTTGAGATGGGGGCTGCTTAAAGGAAGGGAAAAATGCGTAGGGAGGTTGGGAGGTGTGAGAAGGTGAGGAGACAGCCCGGTGTTAGGGAGAGAGGAGCGGAGAGTTGAGGGAGGTGCGGGAAGATGGGTGATCAACTGGGGAGTCCGGGAAAGTCTGGCAGGCGGAAGGCCTTGCCCTGGTGGCTCCACTGGAGGAAATTTAGACCATGCATGGAAAAGACCGGGACGATTGAGGGGTGGGATTGGCCTGTGGGGTTGAGGATCCCAGGGAAGAAGCCCTAAGCTTTGCTGGACTTGGACTTGGCCAGTGTGTTCTGGGGAGGAAGAGGGATTTCTCAGACCCAGATCCCTCAGACCAGCAACGGGGAGGGACTTCTCCTTTGAGGAGTGAGATGTGCCTGGCAAGCTCACCAGCTAGCTTTTGCAGAACGTGTGGCCAGTAAGTGGCTTATTCAACCTGGCACTGACTCTGCCTCTCTCTCCTTCAAGCCTCAGGGCCAGGATTCATTGTGTAATGAATTGAGTGGTGGGAAAACAGCAATGAATGAGACAGATCCAGTCCCGGCACTGGCCAGTCCTGGCACAAAGAAGGCTGCCCAGCCCTGGGGAAGTGACAGGTAAACTGAGGCAGGGACCTGCTGGCTTTAAATAGCAGTCCCCCTCATGGTGATCTGGGCAGAGAGGACCACTCATATGGAGGCTCTGAGGCTGTTACCAAGAAAAAAGCCGGCAGGATCCAAGCTGCAATAGTGTGATAGGGAGTGTTGGGGTCTGCGGCAACCCAGAAATGCCTGCCAGGTCTAAAGGGATCCTGTGTTTGGGATTAAGGTGGATGTGGGGGCTTGCAGGCTCTGTGGAATGGAGATAGGTTGGGAAGGGGGTTGGGAATAGGAGTGAGGGGTTATAGGTGGGTCCCAGAGAGGTAGAGGTGATGGCCACGGGAAGGTAGAAGGTGACTCCTAACCTTGCATGAGCTCATTTCAGGGGACACAAAGCCAAATGCTGACCAGGGAATGAAAATGCAGAAATTGGGCAGGTGTGAGGCGGTGGTGAAGGACAGGGTAGCTGAAGTTGCACCACCCCCCCTTTTCCTTAGGCACCCGCTTGCTACCACTCAGCTCCAGCTGTGCGCTACCACGTGGGAACTCAGGCTCAATGTTGCCAAAATAGCTTCTTCAAGAGAAGCCAGAAATCACGGTTGTTGCGCAAAATTCCCTGAGCTTTAAATATCCCATGGGGATCTACTAAAGTTAAATTGCTGCCACCCAGCAATTCCATTCCTGGGTTGATTCCCAGTGGGAACAGGAGCTTAGGGTCACCTAAAGACATATCCATGGATGTGCCTAGCAGCTTCATTCATGATCACCAAACACCAGACACCCCTTAAGTTGACCATCGACTGGCAAGTGGAAAAGAAATGGGAGGACATTCTTATAATGGAATATAACGCAGCAATGAAAAAGAATATACTACTGACGCATTCACAGCATGGATGAATCCCAGAGACATAATGTTCAGTAGGAGAAGCAAGATAACAAAGAGAATACCCCGAGTGATTTCATTCTGTGTTGTTCAAGGCCAGGCAGAAGTAACCTATGAAAAGAGTTGGGGAAGCCCAGGGTTTCCTTACTTCGGCCTCATTGACATTTGTGGCTAAATGATCCTGCGTGATGGGGGCTGTCCTGTGCACTGTAGGACGTTGAGCAGAATCCCTGGCCTCCAACCATTACGTACCAGCAGCACCCCCCAGTTGCGACAAATTTCTGTTGTTAGGGGCATAATCACCATCAGATGGGAGCCACTGGTCCGGGTGTAGTGGCTCACACCTGTAATCCCAGCACTTTGGGAGGCCGAGGCGGGTGGATCACTTGAGGCCAGGAGTTCAAGCCCAGCCTGGCCAACATGGTGAAACCCTGTCTCTACTAAAAATACAAAAAAATTAGCCAGACATGGTGGCGTGTGCTTATAGTCCCAGCTACGTGGGAGGCTGAGGCAGGAGAATTGCTTGAACCCAGGAGGCAGAGGTTGCAGTGAGCAAAGAAAGATAGCACCACTGCACTCCAGCCTGGGTAACAGAGCAAGACTACGTCTCAAAAAAAAAAAAAAAAAAAAAAAAAGCCACTGGCTTGGTGATGTTTTGAGGCAGCCCACTTCCTGGAAAGTAGCCCAGGGAGCCTCCTGGGAGACTGGACTGTTCTTGATCTTGAACTAGGTGACAGTGATAAGGGTGAAATGTATTTCAAAAATCCACGGACCTGTGCTCCTAAGATTTATGTGTTTCACAATAAAGACATTAACTCTACAACATGGATGACCCTTGAAAACATTTGGAAAAGGGAAAGAAGCCGGACACAGAGGGTCACATAGTGTATGACTTCCTTTATATGAAATGCCCAAAACAGGTAAACACATAGGGACAGAAACAGATTGGTGGTTGCCAGGGGATGGGGGATGGGGAATGGAGATTGACTGCTAGTGGGGATAGGGCTTCTTTTGGGGGTGATGGAAATGTTCTGTAATTAGAGGTGATAGTTGCACAACTCTTTGAGTATACAAAAGTCCAGTGAATTGTACATTTTAAAATGTACAATTGGGGCCAGGCACAGTGACTCATGCCTGTAATCCCAGCACTTTGGGAGGCCGAGGCGGGCAGATCACTTGAGGTCAGGAGTTCAAGACCATTCTGGCCAATATGGTGAAACCCTATCTCTACTAAATATACAAAAATTAGCCAGGCATGGTGGTGCACGCCTCTAGTCCCAGCTACTCAGGAGGCTGAGGCAAGAGAATCACTTGAACCCAGGAGGCAGAGGTTGCAATGAGCAAAGATCGCACCACTGCACTCCAGCCTGGGTGTCACAGCAAGACTCTGTCTCAAAAAACAAAAACAAAAAAATGTACAATTAATCTTGGCTGGGCACAGTGGCTCATGCCTGTAATCCTAACACTTTGAGAAGCAGAGGTGGGAGGATTGCTTGAGCCCAGGAGTTTGAGACCAGCCTGGGCAACATAGCAAGACCCCACCTCTACAAAATTTTTTTTTTTTTTTGAGACAGAGTCTTGCTCTGTTGCCCAGGCTGGAGTGCAGTGGTGCGATCTTGGCTCGTTGCAACCTCTGCCTCCCAGGTTCAAGCGATTCTCCTGCCTCAGCCTCCCAAGTAGCTGGGATTACAGGCGCGTGCCACTACACCTGGCTGATTTTTGTATTTTTAGTAGAGACAGGGTTTCACCATGTTGGCCAGGCTGGTCTCGAACTCCTGACCTCAGGTTATCCACCCACCTCAGTCTCCCAAAGTGCTGGGATTACAGGCGTGAGCCACAGTGCCCGGCGAAAATTTTTTTTAATTAGCTGGGCAACATGGAGCCTGCCTGTAATCCCAGCTACTTGGAAGGCTGAGGTGGGAGGATCGCTTGACCCCAGGAGTTTGAGGTTGCAGTGAGCTATGATTGCACCACTGCACTCCAGCCCGGGGAAACAGAGAGAGATTCTGTTTCTAAAAATAATATAAAATAAAATGGCGAGTGTTACGTTAGGTGAATTTTATTCCAAAAAGGAATTTAAAATTTTTTTTTAATTTTTTTTAAAAAAGGAATTTTTTAAAAACAAGGAGTTAACCACACAGGCCAAACAACACATCTGGGGCCAGTTTGGCCCCAGGGCTGCCGTCATTTGGGAATGGAGGGAAAGGAAGGGGACGGGGTGGGGGGGTGGGAGGGTAATGCACCATCCAGGAGTTGTGGGCGTTCTTGGTGAAGGGTGGGGGATGACGCAACTTGGAGGCAAAAGAAAGTATGTCTCGGCTCAGGGGAGCGCTCCCTCTTAACCCAACCTGTCAGCCCTGGAAAGAAATCAGCTACGGGTCGGAGGCCAGCCAGCGAACTGTCAAGGAAGTGCAGAGTTCTGACGAGTTAGAGAAATGACAACCGCTCAGCCCCGCCCGGCCTGACACCCTGGCGGTGGCATGATGAAGTGGTGCTTGCCGGGTGGGCGGAGGATGCTCTCTGCGAGCTTGCGGGAAAGTGGGGGTGCTCACCCGAGTTCTTCTGCAGTGTGAAGAGAGGTGGGTTCGGCCTCCCTGGTAACAAAGGGCGGACGGGGTGGCATTTGCCCCTACCCATCCCTCCTGGAGGGAGAGCCATTCCCGTGGGTGCAAGGAAGAGAGAAGACAGCGGGCTTCTGGGGGCACGGCTGGGGGTGCAGGGTCTGAGTCTCCGTTGGCTTCAAAAAACTGAATGATGGCCGGGCGCAGTGGCTAACACCTGTAATCCTAGCACTTTGGGAGGCTGAAGCAGGCAGATCACCGGACCTCAGGAGTTTGAGACCAGCCTAGCCAAAATAGTGAAACCCTGTCTCTACTAAAAATACAAAAATTAGCTGGGTGTGGCTGCAGGTGCCTGTAATCCCAACTACTCGGGATGCTGAGGCAGGAGAATTGCTTGAACCCTGGAGGCAGAGGTTGCAATGACCCAAGATTGCACCACTGCACTCCAGCCTGGGCAACAGAGCAGGACTCCACTCAAAAAATAATAAAATAAAATAAAAAACTGAATGAGTGAAGAGAGACAAAGAAAATTAAGGAGGCCAGGCACGGTGGCTCATGCCTGTAATCCCAGCACTTTAGGAGGCTGAGGCGGGCAGATCACTGGAGGTCAGGAGTTTGAGACCAGCCTGGCCAACATGGTGAAACTCTGCTCTACCAAAAAGTACAAAAATTAGCCAGGTGTGATGGCGGGCCCTGTAATCCCAGCTACTCGGGAGGCTGAGGCAGGAGAATGGTGTGAACCCGGGAGGCGGAGCTTGCAGTGAGCCGAGATCGCGCCACTGCATTCTAGCCTGGACGACAGAACAAGACTCCGTCTCAAAAAAAAAAAAAAAAAAAAAAAGAAGAAAGTTAAGGCCTCCCGAGTAGCTGGGACCACAGGCGCACACCACAACACCCAGCTAACTTTCATATTTTTTGTAGAGATAGGGTTTCGCTATGTTGCCCAATGTGGTCTTGAACTCCCGGCTCAAGTGATCCTCCTGCCTCAGCCTCACAAAGTGCTGGGATTATAGGCGTGAGCCACTGCACCTGGCCTGCATATAACTTTGGACTTCCCAAAAACTTAACCACTGATAGCCTATGGTTGATCAAAAGCCTTACCAATGACATAAACAATCCATGAACTCGTATTCTGTATGTTCTATATATTACATACAGTATTCTTAGAATAAAGTAAGCTAGAAAAAAGAAATGGTATGAAAATCATGAGAAAGAGAAAATGTATTTACCGTTCATGAAGTGGAAGTGGATTACCATAACCGTCTTCATCCACGAGTCTTCCGATGGAATAGGCTGAGGAGGAAGAGGAAGAAGAGGGGTTGTCTCAGGGGTGGCAGAGGCGGAACAACATCCACTTACAAGGGGACTCAGGCAGTTATGGCTCAAGCCCGTGTTGTTCAAAGGTCAACTGTAATAGAATTTTTTCTTTTTCTTTTTTTTTTTTGAGGCAGAGTCTCGCTCTGTCACCCCGGCTGGAGTGTAGTGACGAGATCTCGGCTCGCTGCAACCTCGGTCTCCCGGGTTCAAGCGATTCTCCTGTCTCAACCTCCCAAGTAGCTGGGATTATAGGCGCCCGCCACCACACCCGGCTAATTTTTGTATTTTTAGTAGAGACGGGGTTTTGCCACGTTGGCCAGGCTGGTCTGGAACTCCTGACCTCAGGTGATCTGCCCACCTCGGCCTCCCAAAGTGCAGGGATTACATGTGTGAGCCACTGCACCCAGCCAGTAGAAATGTATTGCTTACAGTTCTGGAGGCCAGGAAGTCCAAGATCAAGGCACTAGCAGATTTGGTGTCTGGTGAGAGCCCACTCCACCCCCCAGGTTCAAGCGATTTTCCTGCCTCAGCCTCCTGAGTAGCTGGGATTACAGGTGTGCGCCACCATGCCTGGCTAACTTTTGTATTTTTAGTAGAGATGGGGTTTTGCCCTGTTGGCCAGGCTGTTCTTGAACTCCTGACCTTAGGTGATCCACCCACCTCAGCCTCACAAAGTGCTGGGATTATAGGTGTGAGCCACCGCACCTGGCCAAGCGAGTTATTTTTATTTTATTTATTTGTTTATTTGAGACAAGATCTGGTTCTATTACCCAGGCTGGAGTGCAGTGGTGCGATCTCGGCTCACCGCAACCTCCATTTCCCGGGCTCAAGCCATCCCCCCACCTCAGCCTCCCAGGGAGCAGCTGGGACTACAGGTGCGCACCACTACACCCAACTGATTTTTTTTTTTTTTCAGACGGAGTCTCACTCTGTCACCAGGCTGGAGTGCAGTGGCGTGATCTCGGCTCACTGCAACCTCCGCCTCCCAGGTTCAAGTGATTCTCCTGCCTCAGCCTCCCGAGTAGCTGGGATTACAGGTGTCTGCCACCATGCCTGGCTAATTTTCTCTATTTTTAATAGAGACGGGGTTTTACCATGTTGGCCAAGATGGTCTTGATCTCCTGACCTCATGATCCACCCGCTTCGACCTCCCAAAGTGCAGAGATTACAGGTGTGAGCGACCGCACCCGGCCAATTTTTGTATTTTTTGTAGAGATGGGGTTTGTCATGTTGTCCAGGCTGGTATCGAACTAGTGAGCTCAAGTGATCCGTCTGCCTCAGCCTCCCAAATTGCTGGGATTACAGGCGTGTGCCACTGTGCCTGGCCTATTTATTTATTTATTTATTTATCCAATGTTTGTTTTAAGTTCAAGGGGGCACATGTCCAAGTTTCTTATTTGGGTAAATTGTGTTTTGCAGGAGTTTGGTATACAGATAATCTTGTCACCCAGGTAATCACCATAACACCCAACAGGTAGTTTTTCAATCCTGACCCTCCTTTTACCTTCCACCCTCAAATAGACACCAGTGTCTGTTGTTCCCATCTTTTTTTTTTTTTTTTTTGAGATGGAGTCTTGCTCCGTTGCCCAGGGTAGAGTGCACTGGCATAATTTCGGCTGACTGCAACCTCTGCCTTCCGGGTTCAAGAGATTCTCTTGCCTCACCCTCCCTAGTAGCTGAGATTATAGGTGTGTGCCAGCACGCCTGGCTAGTTTTTGTATTTTTAGTGGAAATGGGGTTTCACCATGTTGGCCAGGCTGGTCTCGAACTCCTGACCTCAAGTGATCCACCTGCCTCAGCCTCCCAAAGTGCTGGGATTACAGGCGTGAGCCGCTGTGCCTGGCCTGTTGTTCTCACCTTTGTGTCCATGTGTACTCAGTGTTTAACTACCACTTATAAGTGAAAACGTGTGGTATTTGGTTTTCTGTTCCTGCATTAGTTGACTTAGGAGAATGGCCTCCAGCTCCATCCATATTGCTGCAAAGGATATAATCTCATTCTTTTTTTTTTTTTTTTTTTTTTTGAGACAATCTCATTCTGTCACCCAGGCTGAAGTGCAGTGTCGTGACCTCGGCTCACTGCAACCTCCGCCTCCCAGGTTCAAGCAATTCTCCTGCCTCAGCCCCTCAAGTAGCTGGGACTACAGGCACCTGCCACCATACCCTGCTAATTTTTGTATTTTTTTGTAGAGACGGGGTTTTGCCATGTTAACCAGGCTGGTCTCGAACTCCTGGCCTCAAGTGATCCACCCACCTTGGCCTCCGAAAATGCTGGGATTACAGCCATGAGCCACCATGCCCGGCCTCATTCTTTTTTAATGGCTGCATAGTATTCCATGGTGCATATGTACCACATTTTCTTTATCCAATCCTCCATTGACGGGCACCTAGGCTGATTCCAAGTCTTTGCTATTGTGAATAGTGCTGCAATGAACATACATGTGCATGTGTTTTTATAGTAGAACAATTTATATTCCTTTGAGTATATACCCAGTAATGGGATTGCTGGGTCAAATAAAATAGAAGAATTTTAAATTGTTTGAGAAATCTCCAAACTGTCACACTCAATTATAAGGGCAATAATCTCACCCATGAGAATGGGGCCCTCCTGGCCTAATCACTTCCCAAGAACCCCAACTCTTCCAACATATGGATTTGGAAGGGACACAGACATTCAAACCATAGCAGTGACCTTATTTGGACAAAGCGTTTTTGCAGATGTAATTAAGTTAAGGATTTTGCAATGAGATCATCCTGGATTAGGGTGGCCCAAAATCCAATGATAAATGACCTTAGAAGAGAAGGGGGTTAGACACAGAGAAGAAGGCCAAGTGAAGACAGGCAGGGCTTTCAGCAGTACAGACACAAGCAAGGAACCATCAGAGGCTGGAAGAAAAAAGGACGAATCCTCACCTAGTGCCTTCGGAGGGATTGCAGCCCTGCACCACCCTGATTGCAACCTCTGGCCTCCGGAATGGTGAAATAATAAATTCTTGTTGTTTCCAGCCACCTAGTTTATGGTAATGTATTTCAGCAGCCCCAGGAAATGAACACAGGCCCTGATATCCAATTCCACAAGCACTTGATGAAGCGTCAGGAAGGGCCCGTGGTACAGTGGAGGGGGAGGGAAACTCGAAAATGGGGAGTGTTGAGAAACGGATGGACAGTGAGGTGGAGGACCAGAGAGGCTTTTTTTTCTTTTCTTCTTTTTTTTTTTTTTAGACAGGACCTCTCTTCGTCACCCAGGCTAGAATGCAGTGGCGCAGTCGACCTCCTGGGTTCAAGCGATCCTCCTGCCTCAGCCTCCCGAGTAGCTGGGACTACAGGCACATGCTATCATGCATGGCTAATTATTTATTTATTTTTTGTAGAGATGGGGTGTCACTGTGTTGCCCAGGCTAGTCTTGAGCTCCTGGCTTCAAGCCATCCTCCTGTCTTGGCCTCCCAAAGTGCTGAGATTACAGGCTTGAGCCACCATGCCCAGACTGGGGAACCTCTTTATAGCAGAGGTGATGACCCAGAACTGAGCTGGAGCATGCCACAAACCTACAGGGACAGCCAGTAGGTAATATAAATACGCCAAGCAGCCAAGATAAAAAGACTGACTGCACCAGCAACGGAACAGCTTCAGTGTCAGGGAGACAGTAAGGGGGGGTGGGACTATGGCAAATAATGATAAGAATGAGTAACATTTATCAGCACTTGCTAAGCCCGTTCCTTATATAGCATGAACTCATTTAATTCAGTTGTGTTTTTTTTTTTTTTTTGAGACAAGTCTTGCTGTGTCACCCAGGTTGGAGTGCAGTGGCACAATCTCGGTTCACTGCAACCTCCGTCTCCCAGGTTCAAGCAATTCTCCTGCCTCAGCTTCCCGAGTAGCTGGGATTACAAGCACGTGCCACCACACCTGGCTAATTTTTGCATTTTTAGTAGAGACAAGGTTTTGCCATGTTGGCCAGGCTGGTCTCGAACTCCTGACCTCAGGTGATCTGCCCATCTAGGCCTCCCAAAGTGCTGGGATTACAGGCATGAGCCACCACGCCCAGACAAGATTTCATCTTTAGAGGAAGTCAGGCATCCAGATTTTTATGCAAAAATCACCTGAGGTCTGGCACTGGTGGCTCAGGCCTGTAATCCCAGCACTTTGGGAGGCTGAGGGGGGCGAATCACTTGAGTTCAAGAGCTCAAGGCCGCCTGACCAACATGGTGAAACCCTGCCTCTACTAAAAATAGAAAAAAACTAGCTGGGCCTGGTGGCCTTTGCCTGTAATCCCAGCTACTTGGGAGGCTGAGGCAGGAGAATCGCTTGAACCTAGGAGGCAGAGGTTGCAGTGAGCAGAGATCACACCACTGCACTACAGCCTGGGCGACACAGCGAGACGCCATCTCAAAAACAAAAACAACAACAACAACAATGAAAAAGCAGCCTGTATTTAAAAGCTAGCAAGTCATGGGCCGGGCGCGGTGGCTCACGCCTGTAATCCCAGCACTTTGGGAGGCCGAGGTGGGCAGATCACAAGGTCAGAAGATCGAGACCATCCTGGCTAACACGGTGAAACCCCGTCTCTACTAAAAATACAAAAAATTAGCCGGGCGTGGTGGGGGGCGCCTGTAGTCCCAGCTACTCGGGAGGCTGAGGCAGGAGAATGGCGTGAACCCGCAAGGCAGAGCTTGCAGTGAGCCAAGATCGCGCCACTGCACTCCAGCCTGGGTGACAGAGTGGGACTCCATCTCAAAAATAAATAAATAAATAAATAAATAAATAAATAAATAAATAAATAAATAAAAGCTAGCAAGTCATTACAAAATGTTTTTAAAGCCTGCATGGACCAAGCCAATTACATCTGTGGGCTGGATTCAGCTCTGGGGCGGACACAGAGGGAGGGGCGGGGCATTTAGTGAAGGCGATGCAAAGCATCATGGGTGAGTTGGGGACCACATGGGCCAGGGGGTTTGACTAGGTGGTGCCTAGGCGGGTGCCAGCATGTTTGTCGGGGCTGGCGCGGTGGAGGGGGCGTGGTTTAAACTGAACAGGTGTTTTGGGTCTAGGTTGGAAAGGACCTTTGGAGCCACGATAACATTTTTCAATTTTGAAGAAGTCAGTGATAGCTTTTAAACAGCTGAATGACTCAGTCATGCCTGTCTGTCCCCATCCCCCAATCCCAACACCCAGAAAGCTGTGAATCAGGCTTTCTTTGGGGGTGGAGGGACAGTAGATCCATCCATGAAGGAAACAAACTAAACAGCCCCCGTCTTCCAGCGCGCTCACAGCCGCCGGGGAGAGGGGGAAGGTGTCCTTAGTAAGGTTAGGATAGGATGGCAGCCGTGATGGTGGGACCGTGGCAGAGGGTTAGTGGTTGTCTGCAGATATGGGAGCCACTGCTATGTGTTCAATGCACTAAGGATGCAACGACGAACAGGACAGACATGGCCCTGCCTTCAAGGAAAAAGACTGTGAAGGAGGAAGGAAATAAGGAGAGACGGTAATTCCAGGGGGTGATGAGAAAATGTAAAAATTAAAATAGCAGGATGGGGGATGGGGCTCAGATCGGCAGCCTACAGGCCCAGGAGACAGAGCGGGTGGGCAGGAGGATGGAGGATGGGGAGCGGGGGTCCTCAGTGGCTCACAAGCCACCGCTTGCTCCCTGGGACCCAGCAGCCTGGCTGGGCCTCTGTCTCCCCAGAATCACCCTATCACACCAAGAACAAACCCACGGCTGACATAGATTCCTGACTCCGAGCCCAAGCAAGGGGGAGAAAGGGGAGGAAAAAAACACCCATCTGTTCTTCCTCTGATGGAATGTGATTTTTCACCCAGTGCTTAAACCTCGAGCTTCTCCTCCCATTTCCTCTCGGCAGCCGCAGCGAAGCGATATAAATCGCTGTAAATGGGTTTTCCCGGCCGGTTGCCGTGTTGTTTTAATAATGGTTCATTTTCTGCCTGGGGGGAAAAATAGTTGGTAAAGAAATTGAGGAGGGGGGGTTCATTTTGTGTGTGTGTGTGTGATTGTGCGTGTGTGTGTGTGTGTGTGTGTGTCCTGTTGCCTTAGAGAAGATTCCCGAATATTCCACTGGGACACCAAGTGACCCGTCCAGTTGGGGAATTGGGGAATTGCTGGTCAGAGAACCAGTGCATCCCACTTGCCTGGACAAAAGGGATTCCTTTTTTTTTTTTTTTTTTTTTTTTTTTTTGAGACTGAGTCTTGCTCTATTGCCCAGGCTGGAGTGCAGTGGTGCAATCCCGGCTCACTGCAATCTCCACCTCCCTGGTTCAAGCGATTCTTCTGCCTCAACCTCCTGAGTAGCTGGGATTACAGGCGCCCGCCAGCATGCCTGGCTAAGTTTTGTATTTTAAGTAGAGACAGAGTTTCGCCATATTGGCCGGGCTGATCTTGAACTCCTGACCTCAAGTGATCTACTCACCTTGGCCTCCCAAAGTGCTGGGATTACAGGCGTGAGCCGCCGTGCCTGGCCGAAAGGGATTCATTTGCAAACCTCCTGGGCACATATATTAAGCACTAACTGTGTGCTATGCCTGACTAGGTGCGTGGGATATGTAAATGAATAAATCTCCCAGGCCCTGACCTCTCTGGGGGCTCACATTCTAGAAGCAGAGAGAGCAACATTAAGACATCACTCTGCCAAACTAGGTAATTACAATTGTGGAAACTGCTCTGAGGAGACTGTTGAGTGCCACGGGAATGGAAAACGGATCTTGGCAGGGCTGGGCTGAGCATGGTGGCTCACAGCTACAATCCCAGCACTTTGGGAGGCTGAGGCAGGAGGATCGCTTGAGGCCAGGAGTTTGGGACCAGCCTGGACAACATAGCAAGACCACCAACTCTAAAAAAAAATTTAAAAATTAGCTGGGCGTGGTGGCACATGCCTTCTAGTCCCAGCTACTTGGGAGGCTGAGGCAAGAGGATCACTTGGACCTAAGAATTTGAGGCTGCAGTGAGCTATGATCATGCCATTGTACTCCAGCCTGGGCCACAGAAAAAGATCCCATCTCAAAAAGAAAAGAAGGCTGGGCATGGTGGTTCATGCCTGTAATCCCAGAACTTTGGGTGGCCGAAGTGGGTGGATCACTTGAGGCCAGGAGTTCGAGACCAAACTGGCCAACATGGTGAAACCCCGTCTCTACTAAAAATACAAAAATTAGCCAGGGGTGGTGGCTCATGCCTGTAATCCCACCTACTCAGGAGGAGGCAGGAGAATTCCTTGAACCTGGGAGGCGGGGGTTGGAGTGAGCCGAGATTGTGCCACTGCATTTCAGCCTGAGGGACAGAGTGAGACTCTGTCAGAAGAGAAAGGAAGGAAAGGGAAGGGGAGGGGAGGGGAGGGGAGGGAAGAAGAGATCTTGGCATAACCCAAACCCCCTTCAGAAGGGTCACCCTGGCTGCTACTTTAAGGATAGGCAGACAGAGGGAGTTGTGGGAGGGAAGGCCAGTCAGGTGGAGAGACTTCCTGGGCAAACTTCTGGAGGTTGAAAGAGTGTGATGTGGGCTCTGACCTGGGAGAACAGTCATGGAGCCAAGGATAGTGGGGGCGGGGGATGCTGGGGTCCTGGGGAATGGCGTGGGGAGTGGCCAGAGACTTGAGGACTTTTGTCTTGTTCCTGAGCAGAGTCTTCCATTCCTCCGGCATTGAGACTTTTTTTTTTCTTTTTTTTTTTTTTTTTTGAGACAGGGTCTCACTCTGTTGCCCAGGCTGGAGTGCAGTGGCGTGATCTCGGCTTACTGCAGCCTCCGCCTCCAGGGTTCAAGTGATTCTCCCGCCTCAACCTCCCTAGTAGATAGGATTACAGGCATGCACCACCATGCCAGTTAATTTTTGTATTTTTAGTAGAGACAGGGTTTCACTATGGGTGAACTTGCTGGTCTCAAACTCCTGGCCTCAGGTGATCTGCCTGCCTTGGCCTCCCAAAGTGCTGGGATTACAGGCATGAGCCACCACACCCAGCCAGGCTCTTTTTATAGACAAAGATGTTAGCGTTCTCGCCCTCTCATCTCACAGGGCATGAGGTCTCTCTCCAGCCTCTTGTGTGAAGGCACAGGTCCCATTCACGAGGTCTCCACCCTCCTCATCTCCCATAGGCCCCAATTCTTAACACCACGACCTGGGGGGTTAAGATTTCAACATATATTGGCCAGGCATGGTGGTGCACACCTGTAATCCCAGCACTTTAGGAGGCCAAAGTGAGCAGATTGCTTTGAGCTCAGGAGTTTAAGACCAGCCTGGGCAACATACCAAAAACCCCATCCCTACTAAAAATGCAAAAATCAGCCAGGTATGGTGGTGGGCGCCTGTAATCCCAGCTACTCCGGAGGCTGAAGCTGGAGAATCACTGGAACTCAGGAGGTGGAGTTTGCAGTGAGCCGAGATTGCGCCACTGCACTCCAGCCTGAGCAACAGGGTGATGAGACTCCATCTCAAAAAAAAAAAAAAAAAAAGATAAAAAAGATTTCAACATATAAATTTGGGGGGACACAAACATTCACACCAAAGCACTTGGCTTGCCAAGTCATCTCCCCACCCCAGCCCCATCCGTTTACTCCCTACAGTTGGTTGAATGACAGTCCTCCAAAAATGTACATTCATATCCTAACCCCCAGAGCCTGTACGTGTGATCTTATTTGGACAAAGGGTCTTTGAAGTTGTATTTATGTGAAGAATCCTGACATGAGATCATCCTGAATTAGAATGGGCTCTAAATCTATTAATAAGTGTCCTGGCCGGGTGCGGTGGCTCACGCCTGTAATCCCAGCACTTTGGGAGGCTGAGGCAGGTGGATCACCGAAGGTCAGGAGTTTAAGACCAGCCTGACCAACGTGGTGAAACCCCGTCTCTACTAAAAATACAAAAATTAGCCAGGTGTGGTGGCGGGCGTCCGTAGTCCCAACTACCTGAAAGACTGAGGTGGGAAGATCAGATCACTTGAGTTGGGGAGGCAGAGGCTGCAGTGAGCCAAGATCATGCCACTGCATTCCAGCATGGGTCACAGAGCCAGAGGGAAAAAAAAAAGAAAGAAAGAAAAAATGTCATCAGAAAAGAATGGAGAGGCCACCGTGACTCACACCTGTAATCCCAGAGCCTTGGGAGGCTGAGTTGGGAGGATCACTTGAGCCCAGGAGTTTGAGATCAGCCTGAGCAACATAGTGAGACCCCTGTCTTTAGAAAAAAGTTTTTAAAAATTAGTGGGGCTTGGTGGTGTGTGCCTGTAGTCCCAGCTACTCAGGAGGCTGAGGTGGGAGGATCCCTTGAGCCTAGGAGGTCGAGGCTGCAGTGAGCCATGATTGTACCGCTTCAGTCTAGGCTGGGTGACAGAGCGAGATTCCGTCTCAAAAAAATTTAAAAAAAAAGGAAACGAAAAAGAAAAAAAGGGAACCAGACACAGAGACACAGGGAAAAAGTCCATGTGACAATGGTGGCAGAAACTGGAGTGATGCAGCCACAAGCCAAGGAATGCTGGGAGCCACCAGAGGCTTGAAGAGGCAGAAAGGATCCTCCCCTAGAGCCTCCAGAGGGCCACCTTGACTTGGGGCTAATGATACTGATTTGGGACTTAAGGGATCCAGAACTGTAAGAAAATAAATGTGTTTTTTTTGTTTTTGTTTTGAAATTATATTTTATTGATATATAATAGTCGTATTGTTTTGTTTTCTGCTGTCCTGAAGCCACCTAGTTTGTGGGCATTGGTTACAACAGTCACAGGAAATATTATAGTTGGCCCTCCATAGCCACGGGTTCCTTATCCAGGATTCAACAAACTGTGAATGGAAAACATTAGGGAAAAAAACCCTAATCCTAGCACTTTGGGAGGGTGAGGCAGGCAGATCACTTGAGGTCAGGAGTTTGAGACCAGCCTGGCCAACATGGTGAAACCCTGTCTCTACTAAAGATAGAAAAAAATTAGCTGGGCGTGGTGGCAGACACCTGTAGTCCCAGCTACTTAGGAGGCTGAGGCAGGAGAGTCGCTTGAACCTGGGAGGTGGAGGTTGCAGTGAGCCAAGATCATGCCATTGCACTCCAGCCTGGGCAACAGAGTGAGATCCTGTCTAAAAAAAACAAAAAGAAAAACAAAAAACAACAACAAAAACCCTGGCTAGCCATGCTGGCTCATGTCTATAGTCCCAAGAATTTGGGAGGCTGAGGTGGGCGGGTTGTTGGAGCCCAGGAGTTGGAGAGCAGCCTGGGCAAAGTAGCAAGACCCCCATCTCTACAAAAAACATTAACAAAATAAGTCCAGTGGGTGGCGCACACCTGTGGTCCCAGCTACTCGAGAGGCCAAGGCAGGAGAATTGCTTCAGCCTGGGAGGTTGAGGTTGCACTGAGTGATGATTGCACCACTGCAATCCAGCCTGGGTGATAAAGCAAGACTCTATCCAAACAAACAAACAAACAAACAAACAAAACAAACCATATTTTATCTATTTATCATTTTTATTATTTTAAATTATTATTATTATTTATTTATTTAGTTTTGAGACAGAGTCTCACTCTGTCGCCCAGGCTGGAGTGCAGTGGTGCGATCTTGGCTCACTGCAAGCTCCGCCTCCCAGGTTCACGCCATTCTCCTGCCTCAGCCTCCTGAGTAGCTGGGACTACAGGCACCCGCCACCACGCCTGGCTAATTTTTTGTATTATTATTATTATTTTCTTTTTTTTTTTAGATGGAGTCTCGCTCTGTCACCCAGGCTGGAGTGCAATGGCACAATCTCAGCTCACTGCAACCTCCACCTCCCGGATTCAAGTGATTCTCCTGCCTCAGCCTCCCGAGTAGCTGGGACTACAGGCATGTGCCACCATGCCCGGCTATTTATTTATTTATTTATTTATTTGTATTTTTAGTAGAGACGGGGTTTCACCATGTTAGCCAGAATGGTCTTGATCTCCTGACCTCTTGATCTCCTGACCTCGTGATCCGCTGCCTCGGCCTCCCAATGTGTTGGGATTACAGGCGTGAGCCACCGTGCCCGGCCTATGTTTAATTATTTTATTATTTTAACAATTATCTTTATGGTTAAAAATATCACAACAGTAAAAAAAAATACATTCTCTGCAGCCCGGATTCAGAAAATGATAAAAATTAAAAAATAAAAATGAGGGAGGCGGATCACTTGTGGCCAGGAGTTCAAGACTAGCTTGGCCAACATGGTGAAACCCCGTCTCTACTAAAAATACAAAAAAATTAGCCAGTCATGGTGGCACGTGCCTGTAATCTTCGCTACTCGGGAGGCTGAGGCCTGAGAATCACTTGAAGCCGGGAGGTGGAGGTTGCAGTGAGCCAAGATCGCGCCACTGCACTCTAGCCACACATATGTATACATATACATATATGTGTATATATACATACATGTATACAGCATATATACACATGTATGTATATATACAGCAGGATGTGCATAGGTGATATGCAAATACTATGCTGTTTTATAAAAGAAACTTGAGCATCTGTGGATTTTGGTATCCAGGGAGGTCCTGGAACCAATCCTACAGGATGCAAAGAGAGGACTAGAATACATTCCCTTTCCTAGCAAAACATCCCAAGAGTTATCACTGGGTCCGGCTGCTCTTCTCTCGTCCTCTCTCTGATCCTCTCCTTTCAGTATTTTGTTCCCACTCGGCCACTAGAAGGGCTCCATCCTGCCCAACCTGATGGTCGTTTCTCAGCCTCTAGGACTGTGCACTCCCAGCTTCCCCTCCCACCTCCAAGGCCACCACTTCTTAGTCTCTTCTGTGATTCCTCTTCATCTCCCAATCTTAGCCTTGAAGAGAAAGCCAAGAGCCAAGATCGGATCATTGCTCACCAGCCTGGGCGACAGAGCGAGACTCTGTCTCAAGAAAAAAATGATTAAAATAAAATAAAATAGGCTGGGCACAGTGGCTCACGCATGTAATCCCAGAACTTTGGAAGGTCCAGGCGGGCAGATCACGAGGTCAGGAGTTCGAGACCAGCCTGGCCAAGATGGTGAAACCCCGTCTCTACTAAAAATACAAAAAATTTGCCAGGTGTGGTGGCGGGCACCTGTAGTCCCAGCTACTCGGGAGGCTGAGGCAGGAGAATGGCGTGAACCCGGAAGGCAAAGCTTGCAGTGAGGCAAGATTGCACCACTGCCCTCCTGCCTGGGCAACAGAGCGAGACTCTGTCTAAAAAGAAAAAAAAAAGAAAACAATTAATAAATAAAAATAAAATAAATGCTGGGCTGAGCGTGGTGGCTCACTGTAATCCCAGCAGTTTGGGAGGCCGAGGTTAGGAGTTTGAGACCAGCCTGGCCAACATGGTGAAACCCCATCTCTACTAAAAACACAAAAGGTAGTCGGGCATAGTGGCAGGCACCTGTAATCCCAGCTACTCAGGAGGCTGAGGCAGGAGAATCACTTGAAACCGGAAGGTGGAGGTTGCAGTGAGCTGAGATCTCGCCACTGCACTCCAGCCTGGGCAACAAGAGTGAAACTCCATCTCAAAAATAAATAAATAAATAAATAAATAAATAAATAAATAAATAAATAAATGCCACTTACACCCGACAGCTCCCAGTGGCGTCCCCCACCTCTCACCTCTCTGCTGACCTTCACCTGCCCCCCAGATGTCTCTGCTGGAAACCCAGTGGGCACACCCAAGTATCACACCGGAAGCAGACTCTTCATCACACTCCAGACCTGTTTCCTCCTCTGTCCTCCCCGCTCCTCTGTCCTCCCTGCTCCTCTGTCCTCCCCGCTCCTCTGTCCTCCCCTCCTCTGTCCTCCCCGCCCCTCTGTCCTCCCCCCTCCTCTGTCCTCCCCCCTCCTCTGTCCTCCGCCTCCTCTGTCCTCCCCCCTCCTCTGTCCTCCCCCCTCCTGTGTCCTCCCCAAATCAGTTAATGACACATCATCGTCCTCTATTGGTGCAGGAGCTGGAATAGTGTCTTCCTCCCCTGACAAAATTCATGTTTACCTGGAGCCTCAGAATGTGACCATATTTGGAAATAGCATCTTTGCAGATGTCATTAGTTAAGTTAAAATAAGATCTTACTAGCCCAGCACTGTGGCTTGAGCCTGTATTCCCAGCTATGCAAGACGCTGAGGTGGGAGGATCACTTGAGGCCAGGGGTTTGACACCAGCCTGGGCAACATAATGAAACCTTGTCTCTACAAAAATAAAAATTTTTTTTTTTTTTGAGACTGAGTCTCGCTCTGTCACCCAGGCTGGAGTCCAGTGGCACGATCTCGGCTCACTGCAAGCTCCATCTTCCAGGTTCACGCCATTCTCCTGCCTCAGCCTCCTAAGTAGCTGGGACTACAGGCGCCCGCCACCACGCCTGGCTAATGTTTTTTTTTGTTGTTGTTGTTTTTGTATTTTTAGTAGAGATGGGGTTTCACCATGTTAACCAGGACGGTCTCAATCTCCTGACCTCGTGATCCGCCCGCCTTGACCTCCCAAAGTGCTGGGATTACAGGTGTGAGCCACCACACCTGGGCTTTTTGTTTTGTTTTGTTTTTTGAGACAGAGTCTCACTCTGCAGCCCGGGCTAGAGTGCAGTGGCACGATCTCTCCTCATTGCAACCTCCGCCTCTTGGGTTCAAGTGATTCTCTTGCCTCAGCCTCCCAAGTACATGGGATTATAGGCATGCACCACCACGCCCAGCTAATTTTGTATTTTTAGTAGAGATGAAGTTTCACCATGTTGGCCAAGCTGGTCTCTAACTCCTCAGCTCAAATGATCCACTCTCCTCAGCCTCCCAAAATGCTGGGATTACAGTTGTGAGCCACCACACCCAGCCAAAAATTTTAAAAAATTAGCCAGGCATGTGGCACACACTTGTAGTCCCAGCTACTTAGGAGGCCAAGATGGGAGGATTGCTTGAGCCCAAAAATTGGAGGCTGCAGTGAGCCATGATTGTGCCACTGCACTCCAGCCTGAGTGACAGAGTAAGACCCTGTCTCTTAAAAAAAAAAAAAAAAAGATGAAGTCTTACTGGACTAGAATGAGCCCTAAATCCAATGACAAGTGTCCATCTAAGAAGAGGAGAGGACACAGAGACACACAGAGACCATGGAAGCCTCTCCATGGAATGACTGGAATGATGCAGCTTTGAGTTGAGGAACACCAAGGATTACAAGGAGCTACCAAAATCTAGGAGAGAGACAAGGAAGGATTCTTCCCTAGAACCTTCAAAGGGAGCCCAGCCCTGCCAACACCTTGACTTTGGACTTTGAGCCTGCAGAACTGTAAGAGAATAACAAACTTATGTTGCTTCAAACCACCAAGTTTGTGGTAATTTATTGCAGCAGCACTAGAAAACTAATACAGTTGGGTGCTTCAGAAGTGTACCTGAGACACTCTGATTTGAGTAAAAGTGGTTTATCTGTAAGGTGATTGCAGGGAGTGCTGGCAGGGGATGGAGGAGATGAGATGCAGAAGGGAGGGCAGCCAGTACATCATGTGGAAATGAGCAGGTTATTCTGCGATATCTAGGTCTTAACTCATCTTGGACAAACCCTGAGAGTTATCTTATGCAAAGGGTGAGGGAGCTGGGGTATTTATCCTCCAACTCCCAGCCATTGTTAGTTGAGGTATGCTAGCAGGGAAAATGAATTCTCCAGAACTTCTGGCTGCCTGCATGCACCAGAGCAAAGCTGTCAGGCAAAGAGTCACAGGTACAGGTGGTATGAAGCCACTGGATTGACGTGCATGGTGTAGGGACAGCCTCTAAGATGGCCCTCAATGTTCCAACCCTTGCATTAATGCCCTACCCTTGAGTGTGGTTAGACTCTATGACTTGCTTCCTGCCCATAGAATGTGGCAAAATCGATGCAATGTCACTTCTAAAATTAGGTCACAAAAAAGACCACGCCTTTCATCTTGGGTGCACTCCCTTTTTTTTTTTTTTTTGGAGATGGAGTCTTGCTCTGTCGTCCAGGCTGGAGTGCAATGGTGCAATCTCTGCTCACTGCAACCTCCACCTCCCGGTTCAAGTGATTCTCCTGCCTCAGCCTCCCAAGTAGCTGGGATTACAGGCATGGGCCATTATGCCCAGCTAATTTTTTATTTTTACTAGAGATGGGGTTTCACCATGTTGGTCAGGCTGGTTTTGGACTCCAGACCTCACCCACCCACCTCAGCCTCCCAAAGTGCTGGGATTACAGGCGTGAACCATTGTGCCCAGCTGGATGCACTCCCTTTCTTGCCCTCTCTTCTGCTCACTCTGAGGGAAGCCAACTGCCAGGCTGTGAGCTGCCCATCGGAGAGGGTCACAAGGCCAGGAACCAGAAGAGGCCTCTGACCAACAGCCAGTGGGCAACTGATCCTGCCAACAACTCATGAGCTTGAAAGTGGATCCTCCCCAGTCGAGCTTTCAGATGAGATCATGGCCTCAGTCACCAACTATTTCTTTTTAATTGAGATGCATCCATGCCCATTTGCTTTTTGTTGTTGTTAGTTAATTAATTAATTAAAAAATAGAGATAGGGTCTCACTCTGCTGTCCAGGCTGGAGTGCAGTGGTGCGATCAATAGCTCCCTGCAGTATTGAACTCCTGGGCTCAAGGGATCCTTCTACCTCAGTTTCCCAAGTAGCTGGGACTATAGGTGCATGCCACCACACCTGGCTAATTTTTTGTTTAGTTTAGTTTAGTTTTGTTTTGAGATGGAGTCTCACTCTGTCACCTAGGCTGGAGTGCAGTGGTGCAATCTCGGCTCACTACAACCTCCGCCTCCTGAGTTCAAGTGATTCTCCTATTCAGCCTCCTGAGTAGCTGAAACTACAGGCCCATGCCACCATGCCCGGCTAGATTTTGTATTTTTAATAGAGATGGGGTTTCACCATGTTGGCCAGGCTGGTCTCAAACTTCTGGCCTCAAGTGATCCACCTACTTCAGCCTCCCAAAGTGCTGGGATTATAGAGGTGAGTCACTGCACTGGCCTAAAATTTATTTAATTGACAAATTAAAATTGTACGTATTTATGGTGTATGACATGATGTTTTGAAGTACATATACATTTCAGAATGGCTAAATGGAGTGAATTAACATATATATTACCTCACATGCCTATTTTTGTGTGTGACAAGAACACTTAAAATCTCTCTCAGTGATTTTCAAGTATACGATACATTGTTATTAGCTATAGTCACCATACTGTAGAAGACATCTCTTGACTGTATTCCTGTCTAACTGAAAGTGTATAGCCTTTGACTAACATCTCCCCAGTCCCTCCACTCTAGCCCCTGGTAACCACCATTCACTCTCTGTTCTTTTTCTTTCTTTTTTGGAAACAGGGACTCACTTTGTCATCCAGGCTGGAGTGCAGTGGCATGATCATGGCTCACTGCAGCCTCAACCTACTGGGGTCAGGTGTTCCTCCCACCTCAGCCTCCCAAGTAGCTGGGACTACAGGCACACACCACCATGCCCATCTAATTTTAGTATTTTTTGTAGAGATCAGGTTTCACCATGTTGCCCAGGCCTGTCTACAACTATTGAGCTCAAGCGATCCACCTCCCTTGGCCCCCCAAAGTGCTAGGATTATAGGGATGAACCACCACGTGCAATCTCGGCTCATTGCAACTTCTGCCTCCCAGGTTCAAGCGATTATCCTGCCTCAGCCTCCTGAGTAGCTGGGATTACAGGTGCGCACCACCATGCCCGGCTCATTTTTGTATTTTTAGTAGAGACGGGGTTTAACCATGTTGGTCAGGCTGGTCCTGAACTCCTGACCTCATGATCCGGCCGCCTTGGCCTCCCAAAGTGCTGAGATTACAGGCGTGAGCGACTGCACCCGGATAGTAACCCATCTGTACCCCATCACTGTAGACTCCCCTCTTTCTGTCATCCCTCACATCCAATCCATTAGCCAGCCCTGTCCACTCCAACTCCAAAACCCACCCTGAGCCCATAGAGCCTTCCTCACCTGCACTGCCACCAGCCTGGGACAAGTCATTCTTGTCTGTCATCTGAATTGTAGCAAAGATCTCTCCTCCCTATCAAGCTCTATCCAGGTGGATCTGCTCAGCCAAGGTAGGCTTTTTAATTCTTTATTTTAGAGACAGCGTGTCATTTTGTTGCCCAGAAGGGAGTGAAGTGGTGCAATCATAGCTTACTGCAGCCTCAACCTCCTGGGCTTAAATGAGTCTCCTGCCTTAGCCTCCACAGCAGCTGGAACTACAGGTGCGTGCCACTGTGCTCAGCTAATTTTTTTTTTTTTTGAAATGGAGTCTCACTCACTCTGTCGCCCAGGCAGTGTGTCGCCCAGGCAGTGAGTACAGTGGTGTGATCTTGCCTCACTGTTACCTCCATCTCCCGGGTTCAAGTGATTCTCCTGCTTAGCCTCCCAAGTAGCTGGGATTACAGGTATGCACCACCCCACATGGCTAATTTTTGTATTTTTAGTAGAGATGGGGTTTTGCCACGTTGGCCAGGCTGGTCTCGAACTCCTGGCCTCAAGTGATCTGCCTGCCTCAGCTTCCCAAAGTGTTGGGATTACAGGTGTCAGCAACTGTGCCTGGCCTAATTTTAAATTTTTTGTAAAGATGTGGTCTCGAACCCCTAGCCTCAAGCGATCCTCCCACCTCCACCTCCTAAAGTGCTGGGATTACAGGCGTGAGCCACTGCATCCGGCCTCCTGCACTTCTTCCTTAAGCACATGCTCACCCAGTGCTTCCATTCATGCATGGGACCAGCACTCATTAAGCACTTACTGTATGTACCTGACCTCTGAGTATCCAACAGGCATTTTTCTCATTTAATCCTTGAAATGACCCTACTGTCATTGTACCTATATTATAGCCAGAGAAACAGAGGCACAGACCAGCAAAACCACTTACCTAAGGTGACTCAGTCAATGCCAGGCAGGGCTGGGATTTGTAGGTTTTTTTTGTTGTTTGAGACGGAGTCTTGCCCTGTCACCCAGGCTGGAGTGCAGTGGTGCTATCTCAGCTCACTGCAACCTCCACCTCCCGGGTTCAAGCGATTCTCGTGCCCCAGCCTCTCAAGTAGCTGGGATTACAGGTGTGCACCACCATGCCTGGCTGATTTTTTGTTTGTTTGTTTTCTTTTGTTTTGAGTCAGAGTTTCACTCTTGTTGCCCAGGCTGGAGTGCAGTGGCGCGATCTCGGCTCACTGCAACCTCCGCCTCCCAGGTTCCTGTGATTCTCCTGCCTCAGCCTCCCGAGTAGCTGGGATTACAGGCATGCGCCAACATGCCCAGCTAATTTTTTATATTTTTAGTAGAGACAGGGTTTCTCCATGTTGGTCAGCCTGGTCTCGAACTCCCAACCTCAGGAGATCTGCCCGCCTTGGCTCCCAAAATGCTGAGATTACAGGCATGAACCACCACGCCTGGCTTTTTTTCTTTTTTTTTTTTTTTGAGATGGAGTTTTGCTCTGTCACCAGGCTGGAGTGCAGTGGCGCGATCTTGGCCCACTGCAACCTCCGCCTCCTGGGTTCAAGCAATTCTCCTGCCTCAGCTTCCCAAGTAGCTGGGACTATAGGCGCATGCCACCACACCCGACTAATTTTTTGTATTTTAGTAGAGACGGGGGTTTCACCATGTTGGCCAGGATGGTCTCAATCTCGTGACCTTGTGATCTGCCCACCTCGGCCTCCCAAATGATTTTTGTATTTTTAGTAGAAACGGGGTTTCACCATGTTGGCCAGGCTGGTCTTGAACTCCTGACCCCAAGTGACTTGCCCGCTTCAGTCTCCTAAAGTCCTGGGATTACAGGCATGAGCTACTGCTGACCCCAGGGCTGGGATTTGAACCCACGCAGTTTCTATACCAGCCCTGGGGTCTTCATTGACATTCAGCTTATGCATCCAATGTGTTAATTCTCTCACTTCCAAACAGATGGGCGTTTCCAAGTGCCCAGAGACCCTGGCAGGTTTACATCTCTTGGCTTTATCCAGAAGGTGGTTTGGTCTTCAAGGCCGGGCACGGTGGCGCACACCTGTAATCCTAGCACTTTGGGAGGCCAGGCAGGCGGATCACCAGAGGTCAGGAGTTTCAGACCAGCCTGACCACCATGGAGAAACCCTGTTTCTACTAAAAATACAAAATTAGCCGGGCGTGGTGGCACATGCCTGTAATCCCAGCTACTCAGGAGGCTGAGGCAGGAGAATCGCTTGAACCCAGGAGGCAGAGGTTGTGGTGAATCAAGATCGCGCCATTGTACTCCGGCCTGGGAAACAAGAGCAAAACTCCGTCTCAAAAAAAAAAAAAGAAAAGAAGAGAACAGAAGGTGGTTTGGTCTTTCTCAGCTGCGCTGATGAACAGGCCCATTTCTTGTCCTCAGAGATAGGGTCTAGCGTAGCAGGGGAGTCAAGGCAGGTATCACTCAACTGAAATCCACAGGAACTACTCAACCCTGTGTAAGAGCACCTGGGATGTGTTAACTCTGCCTGGGAGAGATTTGGAAAGGCAGGAAGGACTCTTTTTGTTCGTCTTTGTTGGTTTTTGTTTTTTTTTTTTTGGATTGTTGTTTGTTTTGAGACAGAGTCTTGCTCTGTCGTACAGGCTGGAGTGCAGTGGTGAGATGTTGGTTCACTGCAACCTCTGCCTTTCCGGCAATTCTCCTGCCTCAGCCTCCTGAGTATATGAGATTACAAGTGCCTGTCACCATGCCTGGCTAATTTTTGTATTTTTAGTAGAGACGGGGTTTCACCATGTTGGCCAGGCTGGTCTTGAACTCCTGACCTCAAGTGATCCGCCTGCCTTGGCCCCCCAAAGTGCTAAGATTATAGGCGTAAGCCACCACAGCTGGCCCATCTTTGTATTCTGAGCCAGCTAAACACACAAAGGCCAGACTGGGGCAGGGCATGGTGGCTCATGCCTGTAATCCCACCATTTCAGCAGGCCAAAGTGGGAGGATTGCTTGAGGATTGCTTCAAGACCAGCTTGGGCAACATAGCGAGACCCAATCTCTTAAAAAATAACAAAAAATTAGCTGGATGTGGTGGCACACACCTGTAGTCTCAGCTACTCCAGAGGCTGAGGCAGGAGGATTCCTTGAGCCTGGGAGATTGTTAGCCTGGGTGACGGAATGAGGCCTTGTCTCTTAAAAAAAAAAAAAAAAAAAGGCCGGGCGCAGTGGCTCATGCCTGTAATCCCAGCACTTTGGGAGGCCAAGGTGGGTGGATCACCAGGTCAGGAGATCGAGACCATCCTGGCCAACATGGTGAAACCCCGTCTCTACTACAAATAAAAAATTAGCTGGGTGTGGTGTTGTGTGCCTGTAATCCCAGCTACTCGGGAGGCTGAGGCAGGAGAATCGCTTGAACCAGGTAGTCGGAGGTTGCAGTGAGCCGAGATCGCGCCACTGCACTTCAGCCTGGTGACAGAGCGAGACATCATCTAAAAAAAAAAAAAAAAAAATGCCAAAGTGGGTAAATGACTTGCCGCAGGTCACACAGCCTGGAAGTCCGAAGGAGCCTTTGCAAGAAATCTTGCTGCTTTCAACCCTCCTTGTTAGTCTCCCAGGCTGCTGTAAGGAAGTGCTACCCATTGGGTGGCTTAAAGCAACAGAGATTTATTCTCTTCCACACCTGGAGGCCAGAAGCCTGGAATCAAGGTGTTGACAGGACCATGTTCCCTCTGAAACTTGCAAGGGAGACTCCTTCCTTGCCCCTGCCTGGCCAGCGGGCATTGGTGGTGGCCAGCAATGCTGGGTGCTCCTTGGCTTGTAGATGATGCATCTCTCCAATCTCTGCATCATCCAGTCTCTGCCTCCTCCATCACATGGACTCTCCCTCGTGTACTTGTGTCTATTCTCTTCTTACCAAGACACTGGTCGTATTGGCTGGGCGCAGTGGCTCACGCCCGTAATCCCAGCACTTTGGGAGGCTGAGGCGGGCGGATCACTTGAGGTCAGGAGTTCGAGACCTGAGGCAAGTTGCAATTTTTAGCCCCATTTTATAGATGAAGCCACTGAGTCTTGGATAATAACATGCTCATTCTTCCTGGAACCACCCAGAAGACTTCTGCTGGAGTCTTATTGGCCGGAAGAGTGTCACACAGCCATCTCTAGAAGGAAGGGAGTTGGGAGGCTGAGGTAGGCGGATCACTTGAGGTCAGGAGTTTGAGATCAGCCTGGCCAACATGACGAAACCCCGTCTCTACTAAAAATACAAAAAATTAGCCGGGCATGGTGGTGGGTGCCTGTAATCCCAGCTACTCGGGAGGCTGAGGTAGGAGAGTAGCTTGAACCTGGGAGGCGGAGGTTGCAGTGAGCTGAGATTGCACCACTGTCCTCCAGCCTGGGTAACAGAGTGAGACTCTGTCCCCAAAAATAAATAAATAAATAAATAAATAAATAAAATAGAAGCAAGCGGGACTTGAAGGCTGGAATAATGGCAAGGGGAGCTGGAAGAGGGGCTGGAAGACAAAAAAAATACATAAACACATAAATAAATAAAATAGAAGCAAGGGGGGCTGGAGGGCAAGGATTAGGCAGGGCACACTGACACTTAAGGAGCCCTGTGTTAGCAAAGGAAAGAGATAGGTGTGAATTTGACAAACTGTGTCTCCCACAATTCTCCCTGCCTCTGAATCTGGATGAAGTATATTGAGTGCCCGCTAAGGACTAAGCACTATGCTACAGACTCACGGCAAATTATTCCTTTTTTTTTTTTGAGATGAAGTTTTGCTCTTGTTGCCCAGGATGGAGTGCAATGGCACGATCTCGGTTCACTACAACCTCTGCCTCCCAGGTTCAAGCAATTCTCCTGTCTCAGCCTCATGAGTAGCTGGGATTACAGGTGCACACCACCATGCCCGGCTAATTTTTGTATTTTTAGTAGAGGTGGAGTTTCACCATGTTGACCAGACTGGTCTTGAACTCTTGACCTCAGGAGATCTGCCCACCTCGGCCTCCCAAAGTGTTGGGATTACAGGCGTGAGCCACTGCACCCAGCCTTCAAGGCAAATTCTTTTTTTTTTCCCCCTGAGATGGAGTTTCACTCTGTCATCCAGGCTGGAGTCCAGTGGTGTGATCTCAGCTCACTGCAACCTCTGCCTCCTGGGTTCAAGCGATTTTCCTGCCTTAGCCTCCCGAGTAGCTGGGATTACAGGTACACGCCACCACGCCCAGCTAAGTTTTTGTATTTTTAGTAGAGACAGGGTTTCACCATGTTGGCCAGGCGGTCTCAAACTCCTGACCTCAGTGATCTGCCCACCTTGGCCTCCCAAAGTGTTGGGATTACAGGCATGAGCCACTACGCCCGGCCAAGACCTCAACTCTTAAATAAATAAATAAATAAAGCCAATACCATCCCTGCAGAGTTAGCTTTCAGGAGGGCTTATATTCTAGTTGCTGAGGGATGGGGTGGCTCAGAAATAATATTGGTTATGGGAATAACTTGTACTGTGGTCCAGGCACTGCTTTGAGGACTTCTCATTCACTAAGTCAATTATTCATTACCCGCTATATAAGGTGGGTTTTTTGTTTTTGTGGATTCTTTTTTTTTTTTTTTTTTTTGAGATGGAGTCTCGCTCTGTTGCCCAGGCTGGAGTGCAGTGGCGCGATCTCGGCTCACTGCAAGCTCCGCCTCCTGGGTTCATGCCATTCTCCTGCCTCAGCCTCCCGAGTAGCTGGGACTACAGGCGCCCGCCACCATGCCCGGCTAATTTTTTGTATTTTTAGTAGAGATGGGGTTTCCCCTTGTTAGCCAGGATGGTCTCGATCTCCTGACCTCGTGATCCGCCTGCCTCAGCCTCCCAAAGTGCTGGGATTACAGGCGTGAGCCACCACACCCCGCCTTGCAGATTTTTTTTTAGAGACTACAGGTGTAAGCCATTGTGCCTGGCTTTTTTTTTTTTTTTTTTTTTTTTTTTTGGTAGAGACAGGGTCTTGCTATGTTGCCCAGGCTGGTCTCAAACTCTTGGCCTAAAGGGACCCTCCTACCTTGGGCTCCTGAGTGGCTGGGATTACAGACTCCGGACACTGCACCCGGCTCCAGGTGGGTTTTATTACCATCCTCATTTTATAAATGAGGAAAGGGGCTCGGAGAAGTTAAGTAACATGCCCAATGTCACACAGCTAATAACTGTGAAGCCGGGATTTGAACCCAGGTTCTTGGATTCGAGAGCATAAGACCCTGAGTTCAGGTAAGTAATACAATGTCAGCTGGCTGTAAGACAGATGATGGTAAATAACAGGGACCACTAGGCCTGGCAAGGTGGCTCACACTTGTAATCCCAGCACTTTGGGAGGCAGAGGTAGGCGGATCACCTGAGGTCAGGAGTTTGAGACTAGCCTGGCCAACATGGTGAAACCCTGTCTGTATTAAAAATACAAAAATTAGCCAGGTGTGGTGGCATGTGCCTGTGGTCCCAGCTACTTGTGAGGCTGAGGTGGGAGAATCGCTTGAACCCAAGAGGCGGAGGTTGCAGTGAGATCACACCACTGTGCTCTAGCCTGGGTGACAGAGCGAGACTCCATCTCAAAAAAAAAAAAGGCCAGGGGCGGTGGCTCACGCCTGTAATCCCAGCACTTTGGGAGGCCGAGGCGGGCGGATCACGAGGTTAGGAGATCGAGACCATCCTGGCTAACACAGTGAAACCCAGTCAATACTAAAAATACAAAAAATTAGCCGGGCATGGTGGCGGGCGCCTGTAGTCTCAGCTACTCGGGAGGTCGAGGCAGGAGAATGCCGTGAACCCGGGAGGCGGAGCTTGCAGTGAGCCGAGATCAGGCCACCGCACTTCAGCCTGGGCGACAGAGCAAGACTCCGTCTCAAAAAAAAAAGGCCGGCGCGGTGGCTCATGCCTGTAATCCCAGCGCTTTGGAAGACCGAGGCAGGTGGATCACCTGAGGTCAGGAGTTCTAGACCAGCCTGGCCAACATGGTGAAATCCGGTATCTACTAAAAATACAAAAATTAGCTGGGCATGGTGGCATGCGCCGGTAATCCCAGCTACTCAGGAAGCTGCTTGAACCCAGGAGGTGGAGGTTGCAGTGAGCCGAGATTGCACCACTGCACTCCAACCTGGGCTACAGAGCAAGACTCCGCCTCAAAAGAAAAAATACAAATACAAATAAAATAAAGAGAACAGCCAGTGGGAAGTCCCAGAAATGGGCACACACTGGGTGTGTCTGGGGTGCAGTGAGGGGCCCCCTGTGGCTGAGGCGAAAGTCTAGGGATTATTGCACCCACTTTGCACGTGTGACCTTCCACAATTCTTCACACAGCGACTCCTTCACAACAGTCTCATGACATAGGTTTTTATAATTCTCCTCTCTTGACGGGCGGGGAAACTGAGGCTCAGGGTGGCTAATTGAGCCACAGCCAGAAAGCAATGGAGCTCCAATCTGAATCCAGGCAGCCTGCCCCCACTGCCGAACTCCAAGGGAAACACAGTAGGGAGCCAATGCCAGCAGGCTGGGAGGGCTGCCTGGAGGAGGTGGATGTCACCAGGACCTGCGGGAGGACCCTGAGGAGCAGGGAGGGAGGGAGCTGCCGCTGACCAAGGCACAAAAACATGTTCCTGGGGCAGTTCTTGGAAGGCAGATTTCCAGGTGCCTGCCCCCAATGTGGCCCTGCCTCCCGCTCCCCCTGGCCCCCTCTTCCTAGAGGGAAGGCGGCAAGAGGCGCTTCATTAGCGCCTCTGAGGCCCCAGCAGCCCCGGGGGGATGAAAAGGGCCTAGGAGGGGAGCCGTCCTAATTTTGGCACACCTGGCAGGGGGCCCAGGGCCACTGAAAGGGATTCAGCTGGGGCCGGCTGGGCAGGCCCCGTCATTGTTCCGGCTAGATCCGCGGTCAGGGCTTCAAATGCAAAATCGGGCTGGGGATGGGGTGGGGGCGCCGGTGGCCTCTGCTCTTCCTTTAATAGACCAAAGGACTCTGGCGGCTTAGCTCTTTTTCCTAATTTAAAGGTATTTTCAGGCGTTTGGGAGCTCCCCTACGGCGAAGCAGGAAGGCTGGGAAGTGGGGGGCCTTGAAACTCTCTTCGTGGTTGCCCGCGGAGGATGGAGGAAAAGGCGGGGAGGAGGGGGGCTGAGGTTGGTCTGGGGTCACTGGTGGGGCGCTGGGCAGGTGGAGACCCGTGTTGAGTTCTCGGCTGTCCTCTGCCCCAGTTTCCCTCTCTGGAACCTCTGTCTGGTTTCTGGAACCGTCCCCAGCAGGTAGGACGGATGCAGGTGTGCCCAAACGGCAGTTTCTTCCTAAGGAGCTCTTTCGGGTCAACTCCGGAGGCCTTGACTAGGGAGGCAGATGGAGGAGGCTTGATCCCTCTCAGCATGGCAGCCGTGGTGCCAAGGCAGGAAGGAGGGTAGGGAGGCAAGCCAATGGGGTGCAGCGGCCTCCATGCCAGAAAATGGGGGCTCCCTGGATCATCTCCTCGGCGGGAGGGTGCACGGGGACCAGGAGAGAGAACCAAAGGACCCCGCTGGAGGGGGGCTTGGAGCCTAGAGACAGTTGAGGGGGTACTGTCTTCCCCTCTCTCCTGGCCACGCTGCCCGGTCGGCCTTTTTCTCCCCTTTCCCTCCCCTTTTGCCCCCACCCCCGCCTGCCCCCCTCCAGGCCCCAGCGCCCCCCACTCCCAACCCCCCGGCCTGCTCTCCTGCCTCCCCCGTGCCACCTCCTTGGGCTGCGTTTCTCTTCCCTCCTCCGAGTTCCAGGCCATCCCCTCTCCCCCTCCCCAGCCCGCCCTCCTCCTTCTGACTGGCTCCCGCCTCCCTAACGCTCTCTCAGCCTCCCAGCCCCCTCCTCCCTCCCTCTCTCTCTCCCTCTCTCCCTTTCCTTCCTTCATCCCAGCCTCTCTTCCCACCTTCCCCAGCAGGAGAGAGGGGGCCGCGCTCCCCCCAGCCCCTCCCCCTCTCTCCCTGGGGCCGCCGCCATCTTGCAGGATGCTGGGGAGGGAGCCGCGTGCAGGCCATGGAAACAATGCATCTTTTATGAAGCGATCCCCGCTCCTCGCCTGGAAACCTTGCATTAATGCGGCATTGATTTCCCTCGTAATAGAGGGGGCTCTCCCGCGCCCCCAACCCGAGGGGCGCAAGAAGGGAGGGGGCCAGTTTCGGGGGCGAGGAGGGAAAAGTGGAGGGTGATGGAGTCATCGCTCCGGGCTCCCAGCTCTGCAGCCGGCGCCCTCCCCGCGCCCCGCCTGGAGACCCCCACCCCACCCCGCAGGTGGAGGTTCCCAGAGTGGGGGAGGGGTTCCGGCGCGAGGCCCTCTAGTAACTTCTGGGCTGAGACCCAGCCACAGAGTCCCGGCCGATGGGATCCCCACCCCCCTATTCTCAGCCCTGGCATTGGCCAGAAAGGGCGCAGGAGACCCTCGGCTGCCCCTGGGGCCCGCTGTCTGCGGCCAGGTCCTCTGGGACACGTGTCCCCCCCTCCCCCCAGAACCCTCCGAGGTTCCCCAGCTCCTCCAAGCCCTGTTTCCTTCCCCTCTTCCATCTTGCCGCCTCACTCCCATCCTTACAGCTCCTGCCTTCCTCGTCCTCTCCTGGCTCCCCCCTTCCCCTTCCCTGCTGCCTGCCCCCTCCCTCCACACCCCCTTCCCTGCGTGCTAATGGCCCGGTGGCAGGCGGCTCCGTGGCTGTTTCCGGGGGAGGCGGGTTTGCAGCCAGGGGAGATGTTGGAGCGGTTTGAGGAAGAAGAATTATACATACATAAATCTGGGATAATGACGGTGTTGCTAATGGGGCGGGCGGCGGCAGCTCCCGGCAGTGCCCCCCCACAAACACACACCCCATCACACACACTCAGGGACCAGCCTGGCTTCCTGACGCGTTTGAGGGTCCGTGGGCCCCGATCATCTCCTTGACTGGCCCTGAAACATCCCTGCTGCAGATACGGGGTCCATGCTCATTTGTGACATCAATGAAACATCCCCCTCCAGCCCCCCAATTCAATTTGCGGCTTGCCACTTTGCTTGCCCTGTGGCCTAGGGGTGAGTAGTTACCCCAGCAGGACAGGTGTGTTCACTTGGGTCTTATTACCCCACCACCAGCCTGGACCCCCCACTCCTCTAGGTTTTCTGAGGTCACACCACCCACCACATGACATCTTTTGCATAACTGAAGGAAGGTCAGACGGATTTTCTTACCCTTTCTCCATTTCATAGCTGTGTGACCTTAGGCAAATTACTTAACCTCTCTGAGATTCAGTTCTCTCTACTTGTAATTTGGGAATAATTATGTTCAAAGAACCTGAGGCTGAGGTGGGAGGATCACTTGAGGCAAGGAGTTGGAGACCAGCCTGGGCAACATAGCGAAACCCCTGTCTCAAATTAAAAAAAAAATTTTTTTGAAAAAATTAGTCAAGGGCCAGGCACAGTGGCTCACACCTGTAATCCCAGCACTTTGGGAGGCCAAGGCAGGTGGATCACTTGAGGTCAGGAGTTCAAGACCAGCCTGGCCAACATGGCGAAACCCTGTCTCTACTAAAAAAAAAAAAAGTACAAAAATTAGCCGGTGTGGTGGTGCATGCCTGTCATCCCAGCTACTCGGGAGGCTGAGGCACGAGAATCCCTTGAACCGGGAGGCGGAGGTTGCAGTGAGCGGAGGTCGCACCACTGCACTCCAGCCTGGGCAACAGAGCAAGACCCTGTCCCTAAAAAAAAAAAAAAAAGAGAACGTGAATTCACCCACTTCTTTCCACTTTTGTGCTTCCCAACTCCTTCATCACTTGCCTGGATTTACTGAGGTTGCCTTGGCCACAGGCTCCTGGCTTCTGCCCTGGCCTCCATCCGTCCTTACCACAGCCCAGAGGTATCTTTGAAAAGACAAGGAAGTTCACGTTTTCCTTCTATTGAGAACGCTGCAATGCACCGCCATGGCTCTTAGATTAAGACCGAAATCCCTCACTCAACCTCCTTGGGATTCCTCTCTCCATCGCTAAGTCCACTCCAGCTACACTGAGCCTTTGCACTGGTTGTTCCCACTTCCTGCAACACCCTTCCCCCTAGATCTCACATGGCCAACCAGCTCTGCCTTCTTCTTCACGCCTCAGCTCCATGTCACCACCCCTAGTCAATCTCCATTAACTCTCTGATATCGCTTACTTATTTGTTTTCATGACCATTCCCTCCTGGAATAACATCTCTCTCTCTCTCTCTCTTTTCCTTCCTTCCTTTTTCCCTCCCTCCTTCCTTCCTTTCTTGCTTCCTTCCTTTTTTGTTTTTTTTGACAGAGTCTCGCTCTGAACACCCAGGCTGGAGTGCAAAGGCACGATCTTGGCTCATTGCAACCTCTGCGATTCTCCTGCCTCAGCCTCCCCAGTAGGTGGGATTACAGGCATGGCTGTACACTCAGCTAAATTTTGTGATTTTAGTAGAGACAGGGTTTCACCATGTTGGCCAGGGTGGTCTTGAACTCCTGACCTCAGGTGATCCGCCCGCCTCAGCCTCTCAAAGTGCTGGGATTACAGGCATGAGCCACTGAGCCAAGCTGTTTCTTTCTTTTTTGAGATGGTGTCTCACTCTATCACCCAGGCTGGGGTGCAGCAGCGTGATCTCGGCTCACTGTAACCTCCACCGTGTTCAAGTGATTCTCCTGCCTCAGCCTCCCAAGTAGCTGGGACAATAGGCAGGTGCCACCATTCCCGGCTAATCTTTGTATTTTTAATAGAGACAGGTTTTCACCATGTTGGCCAGGCTGGTCTTGAACTCCTGACCTCAAGTGATCTGTTTGTCTCGGCCTCAAGTGATCTGTTCATCTCGGCCTCCCAAAGTGCTGGGATTACAGGTGTGAGCCACCGCACCTGGCCAAAATTTATAAACCTTGACTCTTATTCTCGGTGTGTCCCACAATACCTGGCACCTACTAGATTTTCAAATATGTGTTGACTGAGTGAATTAAATAAATAACGTTGTGACTATGTAAGGATATAAGTGATGTAAAGTTCTTGGCAGGTCACCAGCATTCAATAAACCAAGATGCTGGGCACAGTGGCTCACGCCTGTAACCCCAGCATGTTGGGAGGCCAAGGCAGGAGGATAGTTTGAACCAGGGGTTCAAGAGCAGCCTGGACAACAAAGCGAGACCCTGTCTCTACAAAAATTACAAAAAAATTAGCTGGGTGTGATAGTGTATACCTGTGGTCCCAGCTATTCGAGAGGCTGAGGTGGGAGGATCACTTGAGCCTGGGCGGTTGAGGCTGCAGTGAGCCAGGTTCCTGCGATCCAGCCTGAGTTACTGAGTGAGACCCTGTCCACATCCCCACAAGAGGTAAACTTATGTTCATCAAAAGACATGTACAAGGATGTTCATAGCTGCTTTATCTACAATAACCATTCACTGCAAACAACTCAAATATCTATCAGCAGTAAGATAAATACATTGTGATACATCTCCACAATGGATTATTATACAACCAAGAAAAAGAACAGGAAAGCAGACATGACAATAGATTCTCACAGATACAATGTTGCGTAAAAGCAAGACGACAAACCATGTATTTCCACTTACACAAAGTTCAGGGGTAGGCAAAACTAATCTATGATGAAAATGTCAAATTGGAGGATACTGACTGAGAAAGAGCATTTGGGAATTTCCTGGAGGGACAATTATGTTCTTCTGGTCTGCATGGTGGATACACAGGTATACACGTGTAGAAATTCACCACGCTGAAATTTATGATTTGTGCACTTTACCATATTCATTAAAAAAAAAAAAAAAAAAAGGAAGCCAGTCATGATGGCTTGTGCCTGTAATCCAAGCTACTCAGGAGGCTGAGATGAGAGGATCGCTTGAGGCCAGGAGCTCGAGACCAGCTGGGTAATGTAGTGAGACCCTGTCTTCATTTAAAAAAAAAAAAAAAAAAAAGATTAGGCTGGGTGCAGTGGCTGTAATCCCAGCACTTTGGGAGGCCAAGGTGAGCAGATCACTTGAGGTCATGAGTTCGAGACTTGCCTTGCCAACATGGTGAAGCCCTGTCTCTACTAAAAATATAAAAATTAGCCAGGTTAGGCCAGGGATAGTGGCTTACGCCTGTAATCCCAGCATTTTGGAGGCCGAGGTGGGCGGATTATAAGGTCAGGAGTTTGAGACCAGCCAATATGGTGAAACTCCGTCTCTACTAAAAATACAAAAATTAGTCAGGTGTGGTGGTAGGCGCCTGCCTGTAGTCCCAGCTACTCGGGAGGCTGAGGCAGAAGAATTGCTTGAACCCGGGAAGCAGAGATTGCCGTAAGCTGAGATCGCGCCATTGCACTCCAGCCTGGGCGACAGAGGAAGACTCCGTCTCAAAAAGAAAAAAAAGTTAGCCAGGCATTGTGGAGGTTACCTGTAATCGCAGCTCCTCAGGAGGCTGAGGCAGGAGAATCACTTGAACCTGGGAGGTGGAGGTTGCAGTGAGCCAAGGTCACACCACTCCACTACAGCCTGGGTGACAGAGCGAGACTCCATCTCAAAATAATAATCATAATAATAATGAAAAGAAATGATGCTGGATGCAGTGGCTCATGCCTATAATCCCAACACTTTGGGAGGCCAAAGCAAGAGGATCACTTGAAGCCAGGAGTTTGAGACCAGCCTGGGCAATGTAGCAGGACCCTATCTCTACAAAAACATATATATTTTAAAAATTAGCCAGGTGTGGTGGTGCATGTCTGTAGTCCCAGCTACTCGCATGGCTGAGGCAGGAGGATCACCTCAGTCCAGTAATTTGAGGCTGCAGTAAGGTGTGATCACACCACTGGACTCCAGCCTGGGCAATAGAGCAAGACCCTATCTCAAAATAAAAGAATAAAATATACAATAAAAATAAAACAGAGCAAAGAGAATGTCCCCTAGAGCCATGTGTGATCCATACGCTTTGTGAATCCTGACACCTCCTCTCCTTCGAGGTTGTACAACTGTCTTCCAAAGTTGGAAAAAAAAAATGTTTAAAGCTGCCCAGATTCAGGAGGGAGGTCCAAGGGGTACCAGTGCCCTCCCCCATTTCCCAAGGACGACAAGGGTTGCCAGCCTCCCTTGGCCTTGGGGTGTGCGCAGCTCGGCGTGAGGGCCAGTGGTTGATCTTGAAGTTTCTTTCCTACTCCCTCATCCCTTTCCTGCCCAAGCTGTGGTCCCAGCTGACTCCCCTATCAGCGACTGCGAGTGAGTTCGGTTGTTATGGCAACGGGGCTGCGGAGATCCCCGGGAACCTGCTGGTCCGCCTCATTGCCTCACCGTATGGGGAGCTGCTTTTCCCCCTTAAAAATGAAACGGGAGTGGGATGGGGGAGGAACCCCCTTCTTCTGCTCTGGAATGAAATGCCTCCCTCACCTGCTTTGTCCCAAACCCCCGGTTTGGAGAGGAGGGTCTGGATGGGACCCAGACTGTGGATAAGGATGGAGGGAGGAGAACTCCTGCTCCCTGGGTTTTAGCAGCCTTCCCAGGTCCCACCGAACACGAGGAACACGGTCTTTCTCCAGCTCCAACTTTTCTCATCTGTCCATTCATTTTTTCCACAGGAGGCATGAGGAGGTGAGAGATGGAAAGAATGCTGCCTGTCATTTGGAGTCAGAAGGAAAAGAAGGTTGAGGGTCTGGCAGCTTTGCTCTAGTGGTTTTTTCCTGTTTCACCTTTTACAAAATCGAGATAATTGTTTCTACTTGGTAGCGATATTGTGAGGTGTAAAATGGATTAACACATGCAAAATGCTTAAAGCAACTTCTGGCATATGGCATATGGTGATCTCTCAACCAATCGATTGTTATTTTATTATTATTTTTTTGAGACGGAGTTTTGCTCTTGTTACCCAGGCTGGAGTGCAATGGTGTGATCTCGGCTCACTGCAACCTCTGTTTCCCGGATTCAAGCGATTTTCCTCCTTCTCCAGGTGTCCACCACCACGCCCAGCTAATTTTTTGTTGTTTTTTGTTTTGTTTTGTTTTGTTTGTTTGAGACAGAGTCTCGCTCTGTTGCCCAGGTTGGAGTGCAGTGGCGCGATCTCGGCTCACTGCAAGCTCTGTCTCCCAGGTTCATGCCATTCTCCTGGCTCAGCCTCCCCAGTAGCTGGGACTACAGGCGCCCGCCATCACGCCTGGCTAATTTTTGTATTTTTAGTAGAGATGGGGTTTCACCGTGTTAGCCAGGATGGTCTCCATCTCCTGACCTCGTGATCCGCCCACCTCGGCCTCCCAAAGTGCTGGGATTACAGGCGTGAGCCACCACGCCTGGACAATTTTTTGTATTTTTAGTAGAGACGGGGTTTCACCATGTCAGCCAGGCTGGTCTCAAACTCCTGACCTCAGGTGATCCACCCGCCTCAGCCTCCCAAAGTGCTGGAATTACAGGCGTGAACCACCGTGCCCAGCAGGGAGACCCTGTTTCTACAAGAAAAAATTTACTGTGATCCCAGCACTTTGGAAGGCCAAGGTGGGAGGATCACTTGAGCCTAGGAGTTCAAGTCCAGCCTGGGCAACATACATAGGGAGAACCCATCTCTTAAAAAAAGAAAAGAAGAAGAAAGAAGAAAGAAGAAGAAGAAGAAGAAGAAGAAGAAAGAAAAAGAAATAATTACATGTAACCCTACCAGCAGTTTTGTGGGATTGCTATGATCATACCCATTTCACAGATTAGGTAACTGAGGTTTTAGTGCCCTGGAGATGAAGGCATTCTCTAGTCTCCCAGAAGCCCTGGACTCTTGAACAACCCCAAATGCTAAACTCAGCAGTAAAATGGCTGGTGGCTCCTACCTGAGGGTTCACAGAGGGGCTGCCTGTGCTTGTCTCCCAGCCCTTTCTTCCTGTGTATTAAGAGGGTTGCAGCTACTTCAGGGCCAGCGTCTCCACAAGTCATCATGACGGCTTCCTGATCATGGCTCTCTCTCTCTCTTTTTTTTTTTTAAGACGAAGTCTCGCTCTGTCGCCCAGGCTGGAGTGCAGTGGCATGATCTCGGCTCACTGCAAGCTCCGCCTCCTGGGTTCACGCCATTCTCCTGCCTCAGCCTCCTGAGTAGCCAGGATTATAGGCCTGCGCCACTGTGGCCAGCTAGTTTTTTTGTATTTTTAGTAAAGATGGGGTTTCACTGTGTTGGTCAGGGTGGTCTCGAACTCCTGACCTCAAATGATCCACCTGCCTTGGCCTCCCAAAGTGTTGGGATTACAGGTGTGAGCCACTGCGCCTGGCCTGGAGATCTGTTTGTCATATTGGTGAACACTTTTAAACAACCAGATCTTGTGAGAACTCACTCACTATCACAAGCACAGCAAGGGAGGCCTCTGACCCCATGATCCAATCACCTCCCACCAGGCCCTTCCTCCAACACCAGGGATTACAATTCAACATAAGATTTGGGTGGGGGGGATACAAATCCAAACCATATCACAGGACCTGTGTTCCCACCTCCTAAACCTGGGTGGGACTTGTGACTGCTCCAACCAATGGAGTATGAAGGAATTGAGTCAATGAGGTTTTGAAGGTTGAGTCATAGAAGATGGCTTTCACCTGGCCTGTCTTTCTCCCTCTCTCTCTCTCTCTTTCTTCCCTCCCTCCCTCCCTCCCTCACTCCCTTCCTTCCTTCTTCCCTCCCTTCCTCACTTCCTCTCTCTCTCCCTCCCTCCCTCTCTCTTTCTCCCTTCCCTCGCCTCCCCTCGCCTCCCCTCCCCTCCTCTTCCTTTCTTCCTTTCTTCCCTGCTTGCTTGCTTGCTTGCTCGCTCTGCTGCCCAGGCTGGAGTGCGGTGGTGCCATCATAGCTCACTGCAGCCTCAAACTCCTGGGCACAAGTGATCCTCCCCAGCCTCCCCAGTGCCTGAGACTACAGGCACATGGTGCCTCATCTGCCTGATTTTTAAATTTTTTGTAGAAATGGGGTCTTGTGGCAGACGTGGTGGCTCACGCTTGTAATCCCAGCACTTTGGGAGGCTGAGGCAGGTGGATCACCTGAGGTCAGGAGTTTGAGACCAGCCTGGCTAACATGGTGAAACCCTGTCTCTACTAAAAATACAAAAATTAGTTGGCAGGGGTGGTGGGCGCCTGTAATCCCAGCTACTTGGGAGGCTGAAGCAGGAGAATCGCTTGAACCCGGGAGGCGGAGGTTGCAGTGAGTTGAGATTGTGCCACTGCACTCCTGCCTGGGCAACAAGAGTGAAACTCCGTCTCAAAAAAAAAATTTTTTTTTTTTGTAGAGATGGGCGTCTCCTTATGTTGCCCAGACTGGTCTTGAACTTTGAGCTTCAAATCCTGCCTCAGCCTCTAGAGTAGCTGGAATTGTAGGCAAGAGCCACTCTGTCTGGTGGTTTTTAACAGTTTTTTTTTTTTTTTTTTTTAAGAGACAGGGTCTCACCAGGCGCAGTGGCTCACGCCTGTAATCCCAGCACTTTGGGAGGCCAAGGCAGGTGGATCACCTGAGATCAGGAGTTCGAGACCAGCCTGACCAATATGGTGAAACCCTGTCTCTACTAAAAATACAAAAATTAGCTGGGCGTTGTGGCATGCACCTGTAGTCCCAGCTACTCTGGAGGCTGAGACAGGAGAATCGCTTGAACCTGGGAGGCAGAGGTTGTGGTGAGCCAAGATTGCACCACTGCGCTCTAGCCTGGGCAACAGCAAGACTCCATCTCAAAAAAAAAAAAAAAAAGAGAGACAGGGTCTCAATTTATTGCGCAGGCTGGAGTGCAGTGGTGCAATCATAGCTGCAGTCATAGCTCACTACAGCCTCAAACTCCTGGGCTCAAGGATCCTCCCAGCTCTTCTAAAATATTAGCCGGAGGGTGGGTAGCATGTACCAACTCTTGGGCTTAGTAATCCTCCTGCCTCAGACTTCCAAATCGCTGGGATTACAGGTGTGAACCACTGCACCTGGCCCTCTTGTTTCTAAGGATATCAGTCATTGGATTTAGGGCCTACCCTAAAATCCAAGATGTTCTGATAGTGAGATCTTTAACTTAATTCCATCTGCAAAGACCCTATTTCCAAATAAGGCCACATTCACAGATACCAAAGGTTACACATTTCTTCTTTCTTCTTCTTTCCTCCTCCTCCTCCCCTTCCCTTCCTTTTTTTTTTTTTTTTTTTTTTGAGACGGAGTCTCGCTCTGTCGCCCAGGCTGGAGTGCAGTGGCACAATCTTGGTTCACTGCAAGCTCTGCCTCCCGGGTTCACGCCATTCTCCTGCCTCAGCCTCCACAATAGCTGGGAATACAGGCGCCCGCCACCATGCCTGGCTAATTTTTTGTATTTTTTAGTAGAGATGAGGTTTCATCATGTTAGCCAGGATGGTCTCGATCTCCTGACCTCGTGATCCGCCTGCCTCGGCCTCCCAAAGTGCTGGGATTACAGGCGTGAGCCACCGCGCCCGGCCCCCTTTCTTCTTCTTTCTTCTTTTTTCCTTCCCCTTTCCCTTCTCCTCCTCCCCCGCCTCCCTCCCCTTCCCTTTCATCTTCTTTCTTCCTTCCCCTTCTTCTTCTCCTCCCCCTCCCCTTCCCTTTGTTCTTCTTCTTTCTTCTTTCTTCCTTTCCCTTCCCCCTGCTCCTCCTCCTGCTCTTCTTCTCTTTTCTTCTTTCTTTTCAGGCTCTTACCCTGTTGCCTAGGCTAGAGTGCAGTGGCACAATCATGTCTCACTGCAGCCTTGACCTCCCGGGCTCAGGTGATCCTCCTGCCTCAGCCTCCCAAGTAGCTGGGACTACAGGCATGTATCACCACACCTGGCTAATTTTTAAAATTTTTTTGTAGAGATGGGGTATTGCTATATTGCCCAGGCTGGTCTTGAACTCCTGGACTCAAAGGATCCTCCTGCCTCAGGCTCCCAAAGTGCTGGGATTACAGGCGTGAGCCACCGGGCCCGGCCCATACATATCTGCTTTGGGGCCACAATTCAACCTGCTACAATCACAATAGATGTTGTGATTTTTCCACCTCTTTCTCTTTTTTTGGACTTGTTTTTCATAGTCTGGGGCATAATTCATTTAAACCATTTTCTTTGATTGATGAACCGTACATTGTTGCCAACTCTTTGTTCTTTCCTAGTTTTTTGTCTGCACTGTATTGTACTGGAGAACAAATATTTCTCCAAGAAGTGTTCCCACTGGTGGAAGGACAGGCTGGTTTTTGGTTTTTGGGTGTTTTTTGAGACGGAGTTTCACTCTTGTCACCCAGGCTGGAGTGCAATGGCATGAGCTCAGCCCACTGCAACCTCTGCCTCTCGGGTTTAAATGATTCTCCTGCCTCAGCCTCCCGAGTAGCTGGGATTATAGGCGCCTGCCGCCATACCCGGCTAATTTTTGTATTTTTGGTAGAGACGGAGTTTCATCATGTTGGCCAGGCTGGTCTCAAACTCCTGACCTCAGGTGATCCGCCGGCCTTGGCTTCCCAGAGTGCTGGAATTACGGGTGTGAGCCATCTCATCCGGCTGATGGGCTGGTTTGGTTTTTTGTTGTTGTTGTTGTTGTTGTTGTTGAGACAGAGTCTTGCTCTGTCACCAGGCTGGAGTGCAGTGGCGTGATCTTAGCTAACTGCAACCTCCGCCTCCTGGGTTCAAGTGATTCTCCTGCCTCAGCCTCCCAAGTAGCTGGAACTACAGGTGTGCGCCACCACACCCAGCTAATTTTTGTATTTTTTAAGTAGAGACGGGTTTCACCATGTTGGCCAGGATGGTCTCAATTTCTTGACCTCAGGATCTGCCCACCTTGGCCTCCCAAAGTGCTGAGATTATGGGTGTGAGCCACCGCGCCCGGCCGATGGGCTGTTTTTGTGTTCTGGGTTGGGTAGGATAAGATAGTTCCCACTTGGCTTTCTAGATCCACTTTTCACGCGCCTCTACTTGGCTCTGGTTCTTTGGACAGATCTGGGGTTCCCTGGTCCTCTGCCTTCCATCTGGGGTCAGACAACTGAGAGGAGATGGATGGCAGGACGGGAGTGAATTCAGCTTCAAGCCTGTCCTGAGAACAGGTCACTCACCTGACCCAGAGCCATGGTTTCTGGGGATGGCAACATCTGCCCAGTGTCCCAGGGTGCTAGGGTTGTGATTGAAGCCTTTTAAAATTTTTATGTATTTAGTTAGTTATTGTTTGTTTGTTAGTTTGTTATTGACACAGAGTCTCACCCTGTCACCCAGGCTGGAGTGCAGCAGCAAAATCATGGCTCACTGCAGCCTCAACCTCCTGGGCTCAGGCGATCCTCCCACCTCAGCCTCCCGAGTAGCTGGGAGTACAGGTGCAGGTCACCACACCCAGCTAATTTTTTAATTTGTTTCTAGAGACGGGGTATTGCCACATCCAGGCTGGTCTTGAACTCCTGGACTCAAGGAGTGATCCGCCCGCCTCGGCCTCCCAGAGTGCTGAGATTATAGGAGTGAGCCACTGTGCCGGCCTTTGAAGCTTTTCCTGCAAATTCTCTTATCTTTATGACAGACCTCAGTCACCCACTGTGATTGCAGGATGCTTCCCATGGGGATCGTAACCAAAAAGCATTCTTCTCCAGGAGCTTTTCCTGATAGCAAATGCGTTAGATTTTGGGAACATCTAAAAATAACTTTTTCTTCTTTTTTGTTATTATAGGCAGGAAATACGCTATGTGTAAACCAGAAGACTATAAAGATCTCCACATTTCCAGCCCTGAGGAAACCACTGCTGATCTTTAGGTGTCTATCCTTTTTGTCTTTTTTTTTTTTTTGAGATGGTGTCTTGCTCTGTTGCCCAGGCTGGAGTGTAGTGGCGTGATCTCCGCTCACCGCAACCTCCGCCCCCCAGGTTCAAGTGATTCTCCTGCCTCAGCCTCCCGAGTAGCTGGGATTACAGGCGCCTGCCACCATGCCTGGATACTTTTTCCATTTTTAGTAGAGACGGGGTTTCACCATGTTGGCCAGGCTGGTCTCGAACGCCTGACCTCAGGTGATCCACCCGCCTCGGGCTCCCAAAGTGCTGGGATTACATGTGCCACCATGCCCACCCTTCTTTTTTTGTTTTTTGTTTTTTTGTTGTTGTTCTTGTTGTTTCTAAGACGGAGTCTCCCTGTCTGTCACCCAGGCTGGAGTGCAGTGGCGTGATCTTGGCTCACCACAACTTCTGCCTCCCGGATTCAAGCAATTCTCCTACCTCCGCCTCCCAAGTAGCTGGGACTACAGGCGACTGCCACCACAGCTAATTTTTGTATTTTTAATAGAGATGGAGTTTCACCATATTGGTCAGGATGGTCTCGATCTCCTGACCTCGTGGTCTGCCCGCCTCAGCCTCCCAAAGTGCTAAGATTACAGGCGTGAGCCACCGCGCCTGGCCATTTTTTTTGTTTGTTTTTTGTTTTTTTTGAGACAGAGTCTCCCACTGTCGCCCAGGCCGGAGTGCAATGGTGCCATCGCGGTTCATTGCAAGCTCCGCCTCCTGGGTTGACACCATTTTCCTGCCTCAGTCTCCCTAGTAGCTGGGACTACAGGCACCCGCCACCACGCCTGGCTAATTTTTTTTGTACTTTTAGTAGAGATGGGGTTTCACCATGTTAGCCAGGATGGTCTCTGTCTCCTGACCTCGTGATCCGCCTGCCTCGGCCTCCCAAAGTGCTGGGATTACAGGCGTGAGCCACCGCGCCTGGCCCCCCCCTTCTTTTTTTTTTTGAGATGGGGTCTTGCTCTGTTGCCCAGGCTGGGATGCAGTGGTGTGATCTCGGCTCACTGCAGCCTCCATCTTCCGGGTTCAAGGGATTCTCCTGCCTCAGCCTCCTGAGTAGCTGAGATTACAAGGGCGTGCCACCACACCTGGCTATTTTTTGCATTTTTTGTAGAGACGGGTTTCACTATGCTGGCCAGACTGGTCTTGAACTCCTGACCTCAGGTGATCTGCCTGCCTCAGCCTCCCAAAGTGCTGGGATTACAAGCCTGAGCTGCTGCAGCCAGCCTCCCTCTTGTCTTTCTCAGGACAGGGCTCTGGGATCAGACAGAGCCGGGCCTGAATGCCTGCCTGACCACGATATGCTCTGTGAGCTTGGGCAAGTGTCTCAACCTCTCTGAGCTTCAGTTTCCTCATTTATAAATGGTGTAAGCATAGTGCCAACTTTGTCAGATTGCTGGGTGTAAATGCCCTGAGGTTGATAAATGTCGGTTCCTACTATGTCACCAGGCTGGAGTGCAGTGGTGTTATAGCTAACTGCAGCCCCAAACTCTTGGGCTCAGACGATCCTCCCCGTCAGCCTCCCTAGTAGTAGTATGCCATGACTGTCTAATTTTTTTTTTTTTTTGAGATGGCGTCTCGCTCTGTCACCCAGGCTGGAGTGCACTGGCGCAATCTCAGCTCACTGCAAGCTCCGCCTCCTAGGTTCACGCCATTCTCCTGCCTCAGCCTCCCAAGTAGCTGGGACTACAGGCGCCCGCCACTACGCCCGGCTAATTTTTTTGTATTTTTTAGTAGAGACAGGGTTTCACCGTGTTAGCCAGGATGGTCTCAATCTCCTGACCTTGTGATCTGCCTGCCTCGGCCTCCCAAAGTGCTGGGATTACAGGCATGAGCCACCGCGTCCAGCCATGCCTGGCTAATTTTTTAAAAGGTTTGTTTTAGAGACGGGGTCTCGCTTTGTTGCCCAGGCTGGTCTCGAACTCCTGGTATCAAGTGATCCTCCTCCTCAGCCCCTCAAGTATCTGGGATTACAGGCACAAGCCACCACCCCGGCTACAGGAATGTTATATAACAGATGTTCAAATTCTTCTTCAGGCTTTCTATAGATAACAGGATTTCAGCCCCTCTTCTATGTGACCCAGGCCAAGTTTTGGTCTTGTTCCACAGTCCTAGAACCTGCCGTGTTTTTTTGTTTTGTTTTTTTTTTTTTGAGACGGAGTCTCGTTCTGTCGCCCAGGCTGGAGCGCAGTGGCACGATCTCGGCTCACTGCAAGCTCCGCCCCCCGAGTTCACACAGTTCTCCTGCCTCAGCCTCCGAGTAGCTGGGACTACAGGCACCCGCCACTATGCCTGGCTAATTTTTTTGTATTTTTAATAGAGACGGGGTTTCATACCTGCCATTGGTTTTTAAGATCTTATGTCTGGGCCAGGAATGGTGACTCACACATGTAATCCCAGCACTTTGGGAGGCCAAGGTGGGTGGATCACTGGAGGTCAAGAGTTTGAGACCAGCCTCGCCAACATGGTGAAACCTCATCTCTACTTAAAATACAAAAAGTAGCTGGGCAAGGTGGTGCACGCCTGTAATCCCAGCTACTTGGCAAACTGGGGCATGAGAATCACTTGAACCCGGGAGTTGGAGGTTGCAGTAAGCTGAGATCATGCCACTGCACTCCAGCCTGGGCAAGAGAGGGAGACCCTGTTGAAAAAAAAAATTTAAGGCCGGGTGCGGTGGCTCACGCCTGTAATCCCAGCACTCTGGGAGCCTGAGGCAGGTGGATCACCTGAGGTCAGGAGTTCAAGACCAGCCTGGCCAACATAATGAAACCCGTCTCTACTAAAAGTACAAAAATTAGCTAGGCATGGTGGCGCGTGCCTGTAATCCCAGCTACTTAGGAGGCTGAGGCAGGAGAATTGCTTGAACCCAGGAGGCGGAGGTTGCAGTGAGCCGATATTGAGCCATTGCACTCCAGCCTGGGCAACAAGATCGAGACTCCGTCTCAAAAAATAAATAAATAAATAATAAATGTAAGTGAGACCAGGTAGACTGGTGCATGCCTATAATCCCAGCACTTTGGGAGACTGAGGTGGGAAGATGGCTTGAGCCCAGGAGTCCAAGGCTGCAGTGAGCTATGACCGTGCCACTGCACTCCAGCCTGGGCCACAGAATGATAGACACCTTATCTCTTACAGAAAAAAAAAAAAAATCAAGTGAATGTTTCATTGAGTGCTTACTAAGTTCCATGCACAAAGGCTAAACACCTTGACAGACACTATTTTCTATAACAGTCACAAGAACCCATTTGAAAGAAAGGAGGGCTGGGCGCGGTGGCTCACGCCTATAATCCCAACACTTTGGAAGGCTGAGGCAGGCGGATCACTTGAGGTCAGGAGTTCCAGACCAGCCTGGCCAACAAGGTGAAACCCGGTCTCTACCAAAAATACAAAAATTAGCTGGGGGTGGTGGCTGGCGCCTGTAATCCCAGCTACTCGGAAAGCTGAGGCAGGAGAATCGCTTGAACCTGGGAGGTGGAGGTTGCTGTGAGCGGAGATCGTGCCACTGCACTCTAGCCTGGGCAACAGAGCAAGACTCTGTCTCAAAAAAGAAAAAAAAAGAGAAAGAAAGAAAGGAAGGAGGATCAAGGCACTGCAAGTAAGTGGAGGAGGAGGCAAGATTTCACTCCATCCTTTGCCGTGAGTACTGTCGGTATATCCCCCTAAGTTGTGCCTTGTCTCCATTTGACATCACCAAGCTTGTTATTATTGTGTCTAAACCACAAGCAAATTGGCTATAAGTGAGGGCCACAACCATCAGTTCAACTTGACCAGAATATAGTAACCACCCACCACATGCTAGACCTTATACTTGTCAAGGAAAAACAGCTCAGATCTCCCACCTTCCTGGAGCTTATAAGACTTCGGGGTCACCTCCTTTAGCTTATGCATAGACTTTTATTTTATTATTATTTATTTTCGAGACAGGGTCTCGCTCTGTTACCCAGGCTGGAATACAGTGGTGTGATCTTGGCTCACTGCAGCCTCAACCTCCTGGGCTCAAGTGATTCTCCTGCCTCAGCCTCCCAAGTAGCTGGGACCACAGGCATGCGCCACCACACCTGGCTACTTTTTGTATTTTTAGTAGAGATGGGGTTTCACCATGTTGCCCAGGCTGGTCTCAAATTCCTGACCTCAAGGGATCTGCCCTCCTTGGCCTCCCAAAGTGCTGGGATTACTTTCCAGGTGTGAGCCACCGCGCCCGGCCTGCGCAGACCTTTAAATATGCGCTTCAGTTCTTAGAGAGTTTTAACTGCACTGGATGCTAAGTTGAGTTTCAGATAAAGGTGTCAGAACAATGGCTGGGGGACAATAAGGTGCTGTTACTGGTGATGCCTTGTCTCGGGAGGGAGCAATTTTGGGAGTGGGAAGGGGACAAAAGAAACTGTAGTCCCTAGGGATAAGGGCTGAAGCCCTGGTCCCCAAATGCTTGCATTTGGATCCCAGATTCATTATTTACTTGTGGTGTGACCTTGGACAAGGCCTCTCATTGTCCCGTGCCTCAGTTTCTCCATCTGTAAAGTAGACCTGGTCTTAGTAACCTGCTGCCTAGAACTGTGGTGCGAACTGAGGGAGCTATGCAAAGCTTTAGACAGTGACTGGTTGGCGGCAAGCAATCAATCAATGAAGCCTCCATCACAGTGATCCCTTGGGCTCCCCAGGGAGTAGCAGTTTGGAGGACCCAGATTCTGAACCCACAGAGTTGGTGTGGAAGAGGAAGAGGGAGCCTGGTGAGCCCCCCACTTACACCCCCAGAAGCCTTGGAGCCAAAGCAGCCGGACCCCAGCCCCAGCTTCAGAGGAGCTGCCTTGGGGGTGGGGCTGCCCCGGGGCTGGCCCAGCCCCAGCAAGCTTGTTAATTACTTCTCAGGGTCACGGTCTTAAGGAGCCCCTCCGAGGGGATCTTTGCCCAGCCCTCTGTTTATTGATCGCATCTAATCTCTCCGCAGGCGGGCGGGCCTCTAAATCCTGCTTAACTCTCGGTTCCTGCCCTTTCCGGGCAGGGAGGCCCCCGGGCTGGGTTTAGCTCGCAGCGAATGAGGGCTGGAAAACTGGAGCGCATTGGGAGACCTCTAGGGCCCCCCTAAAACAGAGAAGGGATGGTGGGTTCCCCCCCCACCCACAAGCATCTCGGGACTCCCAACACCTACCCACCTGTGGGCGAGGACACCGCTCGTTTTTGCCCCTCCCAATCCCCGATCTTGGAATCCACTTCTTGTGGCTCCAGAATCCAGGTAGACGGCCCCCACTTCCCCCTCGGCCAGCCCTGGCCTCCCTTGGTCCCCATCAGGGGAAGGAGGATTTGGGAGCTGGGGAGCCGCCCTGACTTGCTGTTCTCCTTTCCTTAAAGAAACCAGCGCCGCTGGAGGGAGTGGAGCCCCTGGCCCCCGGCCTGGCTCGGCTCTTTGCCGAGGTGATTAGGATGCGTCCTCCGAGGGCGCACGGCTTTAACCCGAGTTGCCAGCGCTTTTCGGGCCCCGGGCGATGTCGGTTGTTCAGGGGGCTCTCTGGGTGCCTGGCTGGCCTCCGTTCCCACCTTTGAAGTGAGCTCTGGTTGGATGGTGGGAGGAGCGGGGGCGAGGCGGGGTGTTCTGCTGGGCCGGGTCTGGGAGGAATTCGCGGGAAATGCGGGGGCTTAATGGGGGAAACAGAGGCAGTATCAAATAGACGGCCTGCTGACATTTTTAAAAATGTTTTTACAATTTTTGTTTGTTTATTTTTTTTGAAACCAGGCCTTGCTCTGTTGCCCAGGCTGGAGTGCGGTGGCGTGATCATAGCTCACTGCAGCCTTGAAGTCCTAGGCTCAGGTGAGCCTCCCACCTTGGCCTCCTGAGTAGCTGGGACTACAGGTGCATGCCACCACGCTATGCTAAATTTTGTTTTCTTTCTCGGTAGAGAAGGGGTCTCACTATGTTGCCCAGGCTGTGGCAGGCTGAGCATGAGTGGCTCATACCTGTAATCTCAGCACTTTTGGGAGGCTGAGGCAGGATTGCTTGAGTCCAGGAGTTTGAGACCAGCCTGGGCAACATAGTGAGACCCTGTCTCTACAAAAAAAAAAAAAAAAAAAAAGGCAGGTATGGTGGCACACCCCTAGTCCCAGCTACTCGGGGAGCTGAGGTAGTAGGATCACTTGAGCCCAGGAGTTTTGAGTCTGCAGTGAGCTATGATCGTGCCACTGCACTCCAGCCCGGGCAACAGAGTGAGACCCTTTCTCAAAATAATAATAATAACAATAAAATATAAAATAAAATAAGAAACAAAAACTTGGAAGACAGAGCAGCCTAGGTTCGAATCCTGCCTCCACCACCCAGCACTGGGAGATCCTGAGTGAGTGACTTTGCTTCTTGGAGCTCTCTCCTCGCCTCTGACTTCTCAGCTGCTCTGGGTCAGGAACTGAATGACTAAAAGGGCCTGGTTCAGAATGAGTGCTCCTCCTGGCCAAGAGAGGAGGAGGAAGGACAGGGGTGGGTGGGACAGCTGTAGGGATCCGGGCTGGTGGGTTGGGGAGGTTGCCGGCTCCTACCTTTTAGAGCTCCCAGGCTGTAGACCAAAACTGACATGAATACCTGCTCTTGCCCAGCGGATGTGGATGCCCAGGGGGTCTCTGGGTGGGGAAGAAGTGGGTGTCTATTGGCCCAGTGGTAAAAGGTCTAAGTAAAGGATCTGGGTCTTCAGTTTATATTTCCCTAGGAATGTGTGATGGAGCGCTATGACCAGACATGAGTGTGGTCAGAGATCAGAACCAGGCACCAGTGTGCCCTGACCTGTGCCTCAGTGGTTGCACATTCCTGGTGCACACCTGGTGTATACCTGGCACACAGCACATACCTGGTGCACACCTGGCATATACGTGGCACATGCCTGCCACATTCCTGGTGCACACCGGGAGTATACCTGGCACACACCTGCCACATTCCTGGTGCACACCTAGCGTATACCTAGCACACACCTGCCACATTCCTGGTGCACACCTGGAGTATACCTGGCACACGCCTGCCACATTCCTGATGTACACCTGGTGTACACCTGGCACACGCCTGCCACATTCCTGGTGCACAGCTGGTGTACACCTGGCACACACCTGCCACATTCCTGGTGCACACCTGGTCTATGCCTGGCACACACTTGGTGTACACATGGCATATATCTTTCAGGCTTTCAGCCACTGATCCATCTTGGTCTTGCTCACCCAGTGTCAGAGAGGCATCAGGTACCTGAGTGAGATCACCTTTCTTGATGAAACACAAAATTGGGAACCACATAAAGAGCACTCACTATATACCAGGTGCTGTCTTAAGTGAGTTAACTTTCATTAACTCATTTTATTTTCACAAGATGCTGTTAGTTGGACGCCATTCGTTCTGTTGGCCAGATATTTCCTGCTCTTGCCTTTCCTGTGAGCAAGATAGTATAATTGAGTACCCCCACTTCTCTTTTTCTTTTCTTTCTTTTTTTTTTTTTTGAAACAGGGTCTCACTCTGTCACCCAGGCTGAAGTGCAGTGGCACAATCATGATCATGGTTCACTTCAGTGCAGCCTCTATCACCCAGGCTCAGGTGATCCTCCCACCTCAGCCTCCTAAGTAGCTGGGACTACAGGCGTGTTCCATCATGCCCGGCTAATTTTTTGTAGCGATAGGGTCTCATTATGTTGCCCACGCTGGTCTTGAACTCCTGAGCTCAAGCCTTCTACTTTCCTCAGCCTCCCAAAGTGGTAGGATTACAGGCATGAGCCACTGCAAACAGCCACCCCCATTTTTCTAAGATATGGTTTATTTTTTCTCTCTCTCTCCTCTTTTGTCATTCCCTGGTTCCCCACTTCCTACTCAGCCCTTTAGAAATACAAATATAGGCCGGGCGTGGTAGCTCACTCCTGTAATCCTAGCATTTTGGGAGGCCGAGGTGGGAAAATTACCTGAGGTCGGGAGTTCACGACCAGCCTGGCCAACATGGTGAAACCCCGTCTCACAGTGGCACGCGCCTGTAATTCCAGCCATTCGGGAGGCTGAGGCAGGAGAATCGCTTGAACCCGGGAGGCGGAGGTTGCAGTGAGCCGACATCACGTCACCGCACTCTAGCCTGGGCTACAGAGCGAGGTTTTGTCTCAAAAAAAGAAACAAACAAACGAACAAACAAAAACGAACAAAAAACCCCAAATATAACCTTTTACTCCTTCCTCCCCCAACGCCCCCTTGATTCACCAGACACTCCCTACAGGGCAAGTTCATTAAACTCCTCAAGAGTTGACAGTTGATTTAGAGACCAAAGCATGCCTGCTGCAGAACTCTCACCCATCAGGAGGTTGCCTCAAGAGGTAACAGCCAAATCTACGAAACTCCCTCCATCGGGAGACTACCTCGAAAAACTCCCACCTGGGGAGATTTTGGCCTAGTCCTGTCCACAAAGGTGCCAGCAGCCCCTAGCTCAACCGCCCAGTAGATAAGGCACCAGAGCTAACATGCGCCCCCCACCCTACTTTTTCCCCTGCCTTTTAAAGTGCTGGCTTTCTGCTCCAAAACGGAAGCAGTATGTTTGAAGGTGGGACGCCTGTGCTTCTTCCCCTAAGCTAGTTTTGGAATAAATCACTTTCTTTAGACCAGACCTAGCTCTCGTTAATTGGACTTCGCAAGCTGGCAAGTGACTAACCCACATTTTGGTTACAGTAGCTGCACTTCATGCCCACCTTGTGTTGGATGAGGTCATGTGACTAGCTCTAACCAATGAGCTGTGAGTGAAATTGACAGGCATTATTCCCAAACTACAGCATTTAATTGCCTGTGTGAGATCCCCCAAAGCTCTTACTTCCTTCCAGCGTGACAGCAAGCAATGTTTCATAATGTTCCAGAATGTGGCTGTTCCATCGGAGACTATGATGAGCAGAACCTCCTTGCAACGACCCAAAATGGACATGAAGCCTGGGTGAGGAATAAACGTTGTAGTTTTAAGGTTCTTGGGCTAGTTTGTTTCTGCAGCATGACCTAGCCTATCCTAACCATTACAAATTACACACCCCTTTTTACAGGTGAAGAAACTGAGGCATAGACAGGTTAATCACTGTTCTTGGTCACCCAGCTAGTAAGTGACAAAGTGATAGAGTCAAGGTTAGAATCCGGACAGTCTGACTCTAAAGTCTCTGCTTGCTTGCTTTCTTTTTCTTTCTTTCCTTCTTTCTTTCTTTCTCTTTCTTTCCTTTTCTTTCTTTTTCTTTTTTTCTCTTTCTCTGTTTCTCTCTCTCTCTCTTTTTCTCTCTCTCTCTCTCTTTCTCTCTTTCTTCCTTTCTTGGCGGAGTTTCACTCTTGTTGCCCAGGCTGGAGTGTAATGGCGCGATCTCAGCTCACCGCAACCTTTGCCTCCCAGGTTCAAGCGATTCTCCTGCCTCAGCCTCCCCAGTAGCTGGGATTACAGGCATGTGCCACCACGCCCAGCTCATTTTGTATTTTTAGTAGAGATGGGATTTCTCCATGTTGGTCAGGCTGGTCTCAAACTCCCGAACTCAGGTGATCCTCCCACCTCGGCCTCCCAAAGTGCTGGGATTACAGGCATGAGCCACCATGCCTGGCTTTTTTTTTTTTTTTTTTTTTTTTTTTGAGACGGAGTCTCACTCTGTCGGCCAGGCTGGAGTGCAGTGGCACGATCTTGGCTCACTGCGACCTCCGCCTCTCAGGTTCAAGCAATTCTCCAGCCTCAGACTCCTGAGTAGCTGGGACTACAGGTGCACGAAGCTACGCCTGGCTTTTTTTTTTTTTTTTTTTTTTTTTTTTGTATTTTAGTAGAGACGGGGTTTCACCGTGTTACCCAGGCTGGTCACGAACTCTTGAGCTCAGGTAATCTGCCCGCCTCGGCCTCCCAAAGTGCTGGGATTACAGGCGTTAGCCACCGTGCCCGGCCCCGGCTTTTTTTTTTTTTTTTTTTTTTTTTGAGGAGTCTCACTCTGTCACCCAGGCTGGAGTGCAGTGGCACGATCTTGGCTCACTGGAGCCTCTGCCTCTCGGGTTCAAATGATTCTCTTGCCTCAGCCTCCCAAGTAGCTGGGATTACAGGCGGAGATCATGCCCGGCTAATTTTTGTATTTTTAGTAGATGGGGTTTCACCATGTTGGCCAGGCTGGTCTCAAACTCCTGATCTCAGGTGATCTACATACCTCAGCCTCACAAAGTGCTGGGATTACAGGCATGAGCCACTACACCCAACCTCTTTTTCTATTTTTAGAGACAGAGTCTTGCTCTATCACTCAGGCTGGAGTGCAGTGGTATTATCACAGCTCACTGCAGCCTCAAACCTTTTTTTTTATTTTTAGAGACAGAGTCTTGCTCTATCACTGAGGCTGGAGTGCAGTGGTGTGATCATGGCTCACTGCGGCCTCAGACTTCCGGGTTCAAGCAATTCCTCTCACCTCACCCTCTGAAGTAGCTAGGACTACAGGCATGCACCACCACCCCTGGCTTTCTTTTTTTTTTTTTTTTTTTGTAGAAACTAAGTCTCACTATGTTGCCCAGGCTGGTCTCAAACTCCTGGCCTCAAGCGATCCTCCAGCCTCAGCCTCCCAAAGTGTTAGGATTACAGGCATGAGCCACCAGGCCTGGTCTGCTGTTGTTTCTAAACTGTTATCTTCGGTGGCGGGGGGGGTCCCTAAACATATGGAAAATTCACAAACTGCAACAGATTCTGGATGAGGTTGGCCTTTGCTGTCCTGTTGCCTCTGATAATTTTTTTTTTTTTTTGAGATGGTTTCTCGCCCTGTGGCCCAGGCTGGAGTGCAGTGGCGTGATCTCAGCTCACTGCAACCTCCATCCACCTCCTGGGTTCCAGCAATTCTCCTGCCTCAGGCTCCTGAGTAGCTGGGACTATAGGCATGAGCCACCACGCCTGGCTAATTTTTGTATTTTTAGTAGAGATGGGGTTTCTTTTTTCTTTTCTTTTTTTCTTTTTTTGTGAGACGGAGTCTCGCTCTGTCACCCAGGCTGGAGTGCAGTGGCACGATCTTGGCTCACTGCAAGCTCCAACTCCCAGGTTCACGCCATTCTCCTGCCTCAGCCTCCTAAGTAGCTGGGACTACAGGCGTCCGCTACCACGCCCAGCTAATTTTTTTTTTCTATTTTTAGTAGAGACGGGGTTTCACCGTGTTAGCCAGGATGGTCTCGACCTCGTGATCCGCCTGCCTCAGGCTCCCAAAGTGCTGGGATTACAGGTGTGAGCCACCATGCCCGGCCAAGACAGGGCTTCACCATGTTAGCCAGGCTGGTCTCGAATTCCTGACCTCAGTTGATCCACCTGCCTCAGCCTCCCAAAGTGCTGGGATTACAGGCATGAGCCATCTCGCCCTGCCACCCCTGATCATTTTTGGCTTCTTGTTTCTTTCCCTCTTGAGCACTGGCTCTCTTGGTTGGTTTCTCTCTAGCATCTCCCCTGGGGGAGATCTAGGAGGCTGGACAAGAGGATTGAGTAACATCCTCCTCCCTCTAACACCCACCTGGACCCTTTAGTTCCTTCAGCCTTACACCTCCAATCCCCTCTGATCTCCTTGCCAATCCCCTGCTCTGCCTACACTCTGATCACATGAGCCCTAACACTTCCTCCTAAGGGCTGGAGAACAATTGTTTGCTACAGGGAGAAAAATCCTCAAGCCAGAGAGCTGAGCCATTAGACTCCTGGGTCCTGAGGAGAGCCCGGAGCTGAGGTTTCAGAAATGTCTTCTCACCTCTTCATCCCTTGGGCTGCCTCCTGTCACTTCCCGGGGTCTCTGAGTCCCCTCTGCACTCAGAAGCTCCCAGGGAGGACCAGCCAGACAGGGCTCAGGACACTTACAGGCAAACCTCCACTCCTCCCGCCCTGACCAGTTAACGCGACACTTATTCTACATTAAATACCAATTGGACCAATTTTCTGCTGTAATTAAAACCTCTGCAGACGTGTTCCCTGCTCAGCAGTGATGAGTTTATTAACCTCCAGCTCTGAAGGAATGTGGGGGCAGGGGAGAGGGAAGGAAAGAAGAGAGTTTTCCAGATTAGGAGATTGGACCCAGGGAGAGGGTGGGTTTGGAGCTGTGCTGTCTCCTAGCTGGGCTCTGAGCAAGAGACAGATGGGGGTGTGTGCGAAAGCATTAACATCTGTGTGTTTGCTGCCTCTGCAGTGGGGACTTGCAAATATCTACCCCCACCACCCTGACCTGCTACAGAACCAGGACTGCCCTCCCATAATCAAGTGTGTTTTATAGCCCTACTTCCCAAATTATTGGCAGGCAGCATGTCCTGAATCTGGAAATACAGCCTCTTTCAGTTCAACAATCTGGCCTTGTATGGGATCGTTTGTTACGTAGCATAACTTAGGTTATCTGACTATTACATATTGTATCTCCACTTCATAGCTGGTGAAACAGGCACATGCCACCATGCCCAGATAATTTTCTCCTCTGGGCAGGAGACAGATGGAGGCGTGTCCAAAAGCATTGACAACTATTGTGTTTGCCGCTTCTGTGGTGGTGACTTGGAAGTATCTGAACCCCCATCACCCTGACCTCAGTTTCACAACAGAGGCCCAGTTTGCATACAAACCTAGGTGAGGTCATGAAGGGTTCATAGCTTGCAGCCATAGAGGCTGGAAATCAATGCCTAGTACATCCCTGGCAGCTCAAGGAGTCAGCTCATTTCTGTTCATTAGAGATCACAGAATCATCACGTTCTCTCTCTCTTTTTTTTTGAGATGGAGCCTCGCTTTGTCACCTAGGCTAGAGTGCAGTGGCGCAATCTCGGTTCACTGCAACCTCCGCCTCCAGGATTCAAGCGATTCTCCTGCCTCAGCCTCCCGAGTAGCTGGGACTACAGGAATGTGCCACTACGCCCCGCTAATTTGTTTGTATTTCAGTAGAGACGGGGTTTGACCATTTTGGCCAGGCTAGTCTCAAACTCCTGACCTCAGGTGATATGCCCACCTCGGCCTCCCAAAATGCTAGGATTACAGGTGTGAGCCGCCATGCTTGGCTATTCTTTTTTTTTCTGAGATGAGATTTCACTGTCCTCCAGGCTGGAATGCAGTGGGGCAATCATAGCTCACTGCAGCCTCAAACTCTTGGGCTCAAGCCATCCTCGGCCTCCAGAGTAGCCGGGACCACAGGTGCACACCACCATGCCTGGCTAATATTTTTTTTTTTTTACTGCTTGTAGAGATGGGGGTCTCACTATGTTGCCCAGGCTGGTCTCAAAACTCCTGGGCTCAAGCAATCCTCCTGCCTCAGCCTCTCAAAGTGCTGGGATTACAGGCGTGAGCCGCAGCGCCCCGTCCTGCTCATTTCCTTTTATTACCAACAATTCTCCATTCTTTATTTTTAATATCCCCTTCATTCACCAGGGCTCAACTTTGTCATCCAACTTTTATTGCTTTGTGGGGAGGAACGCAACCAAAGAGACACTGGGAGGCAATGACCTCATGGAACAAGGAAGCTGTGTTGGACATCTGGAATGGAGTTGGATTTCCACCATGGCCCAAAACACTTCCAATTCCTCCTTCTAGCATGTTTCGAACCCTGTGGCCAACACTGCCATTTGTCACCTTTTTGAATGTGTTGGATTATCTGTTAGCCTATCTACATCTTGTTTTCCTGTGTATTTCAGGGGCTGGAATTCTGGCAACTACTCCTTGTCTAAGATTCTGTTGCCAGGAGGGTTACAGGGTGGATTCTATAAATGAGGAGCATCAGATCGTCGTGGTGGCTCACACCTGTAATCCCAGTACTTTGGGAGGCCAAGGCAGGCGGATCGCTTGAGCTCAGGAGTTCGAGACCAGCCTGGGCAACACGGTGAAAGCCCATCTCTACTAAAAATACAAAAAATTAGCAGGGTGTGGTGGCACATGCCTGTAATCCCAGCTACTTTGGAGGCTGAGGCGGGAGGATCACTTGAGCCTGGGAGGCAGAGGTTGCAAGTGAGCTGAGATCACACCATTGCACTCCAGCCTGGGTGACAAGAGTGACACTCCGTCTCAAAAAAAAAAAAAAAAAAAAAAGAGAGCGAGAACATGTGGCCTGCAAAGACAGAAATATTTAGATTCTGATCCTTGATGGAAAAAGTTTTCCATCCTCTGCTCTTGACTTCATTTGGTCATTCCCACAATGAATAAGTTAGTTCTAGGATCTTGGAGCAAACATGTCTGTATTAGTCTGTTTTCACACCGCTATAAAGAACTATGTGAGAGTGAGTAATTTATGAAGAAAAAAGGTTTAATTGACTCACAGTTCCGCATGGCTGATGGGGCCTCAGGAAACTTACAATCATGACAAAAAGTGAAGGGAAAGCAAGGCACATCGTACATGGAGGCAGGGGAGAGAGAGAGAGAGAGAGAGAGAGAGAGAGAGGAGAGAGAGAGAGAGAGAGAGAGAGAGAGAGAGAGAGAGAGAGAGAGAGAGAGAGAGAGAGGAAGTGCCAGACGCTTATCAAACAACCAGATCTGGTGAGAACTCATTGTCACGAGAATAGCAAGGGGGAAATGCTCCCGTGATCCAATCTCCTCCCACCAGGTCCCTCCCCTCGACACGTGGGGATTACAATTCTAGATGCGATTTGGGTGGAGACACAGTCAAACATGTCAGTGTTCTTTCTCTAAGGCTCCATTTTGTCCTCTGTAAAATGGGGTGAGAGGCCCCTACTTAACTGCACGAGCTTGCTCTGCAATTAAAATTGCATGTCATGGGCCAAGGGACTTTGAAAGTGGGACAGCTCCTGCAGGTGCTTTTGGCTGGAGTCACAGGATCCAAAACCCCCCAGTAATCCCCACATCTTTCCTTTCTTTTCTCTCTCTTTTCTTTTTTCTCTTTCTCTTTCTTTCTTTTCTTTCTCTCTTTCTTTTTCTCTTTCTTCCCCCTCTCTCCTTCCCTTCCCTTCCCTCCCTCCCTCCCTTCCTTTTCCTTTTTTCTGAGAAAGAGTCTCGCTCTTATCACCCAGGCTGGAGTGCAGTTTCGTGATCTTGGCTCACTGCAACGTCTGCCTCCTGGATTCAAGCTGTTCTCCTGCCTCAGCCTCCTGAGTAGCTGGGATTACAAGCGCCCACCACCACGCTCAGCTAATTTTTGTACTCTTAGTAGAGATAGGGTTTTGACATGTTGACCAGGCTGGTCTCGAACTCCTAACCTCAGGTGATCCGCCCACCTTGGCCTCCCAAAGTGCTGGGAATACAGGTGTAAGCTACTGCGCCCAGCCCTTTTCTTTCTTTCTTTTTTTTTTTTTTTTGAGACAGAGTCTCACTGTGTTGCCCAGGCTGGAGTGCAGTAGTGTGTTCTCAGCTCACTGCAACCTTCACCTCCCGGGTTCAAGCTATTCTCCTGCCTCAGCCTCCTGAGTAGCTGGGATAACAGGTGCCTGCCACCAAGCCCGGTTAATTTTTGTACTTTTAGTAGAGACAGGGTTTCACCATGTTAGCCAGGCTGGTCTGAAACTCCTTACTGTCAGGACTCTGAGCCCAAGCTAAGCCATCATAACCCCTGTGACCTGCACGTATACATCCAGACGGCCTGAAGCAACTGAAGAACCACAAAAAAAGTGAAATAGTCAATTCCTGCCTTAACTGGCTAATGGTGGATGACATTCCACCATTGTGATTTGTTCCTGCCCCACCCTAACTGATCAATTGACTTTGTGACATTCCTTCTCCTGGACAATGAGTCTCAGGAGCTCCCCACCGAGCACCTTGTGACCCCCGCCCCTGCCCACAAGAGAAAACCCCGTTTAACTGTAATTTTCCACTACCTACCCAAATCCTATAAAACTGCCCCACCCCTTTGCTGACTCCTTTTTTGGACTCAGTCCGCCTGCACCCAGGTGATTAAAAAGCTTTATTGCTTACAGAAAGCCTGTTTGGTGGTCTCGTCATATGGACGCATGTAATACTGACCTCAGGTGATCTGGCTGCCTCAACCTCCCAAAGTGCTGGGATTACAGGTGTGAGCCACTGTGTCTGGCCCTTTTCTTTCTTTTTAGTGGAAATGGGGTCTTGCCATGTTGGTCAGGCTGGTCTCGAACTCCTGGCCTCAAGCAATCCTCCCTCCTCAGCCTCCCAAAGTGCTGGGATTATAAGCATGAGCCACTGCACCCAGCTACCTTTCTCAGTTCTGCCTTAATGTCTCACGTGGCTGTTTTCCTTTTCTCTTGTGTATTCTTTCCTCCCCCTCTGTCTTCTTGCTTTTTTTTTTTTTTTTTTTTTGAGAGAGAGTCTCATTCTGTCACTCAGACTGGAGTGCAGTGGTGTGATCTTGGCTCATTGCAACCTCTGCCTCCCATGTTCAAACGATTCTCCCACCTCAGCCTCCCAAGTAGTTGGGACTACAGGCGCACGCAATCATACCCAGCTAATTTTTGTATTTTTAGTAGAGACAGGGTTTCACCATGTTGGTCAGGCTGGTCTTGAACTCCTGACCTCAAGTGATCCGCCCACCTCAGCCTCCCAAAGTGCTGGGATTACAGGCGTGAGCCACCGCTCCCAGCCTCTACTTGCTTTTTCCTTCTCACACCTCTCTCTTCTCTTCTGGTTCCCTCTCCCAGCCTTCTCTCTGCACCTCCTCCCCTGCCACTTGCTCTCTTCAAACTCGGGGATGTGAGAAAGTTCCCGCAGAAATTGCAATCTCCTCTCCTCTCATGTGGCTCCGAGATAAGACAGTAAAAATCCGATTTTCAGCAATTTGCTTCATTTGTGAGCTCTCCGGAGTCTCCCTTTCTCCCCCTGACATAAGCTTAGCAAAATTGCCTGGGTGGAGTGGATATTTTTAACCACTTAGTAGTCAGAGCGGGTTCAGAAAGTTTTGCAAGAAACCGGGCCAGGCCCTGTGCCTGGGGTTGCTGGCGGGTTTGGGGCTGGAGGGAAGCACGTGGGGTGGCCTCAAAGGGTTTAGTGGAGGGGCATTTAAGAAGAGGATGTCCGCCGGCCATGGTGGCTCAAGCCTGTAATCCCAGTGAGAGGTGACAGTGTGCTGGCAGCCCTCGCAGCCCTCGCTCGCTCTCGGCGCCTCCTGGGCCTCAGGCGCCCACTCTAGCCGCGCTTGAGGGGCCCTTCAGCCTGCGGCTGCAATGTGGGAACCCCTCTCTGGGTTGGCTGAGGCCGGAGCCAGCTCCCTCAGCTTGTGGGGAGGTGCGGACTGGTGGAAACCAGGGCTGCCCGCTGCACTTGCAGGCCAGCGTGAGTTCCAGGTGGGTGTGGGCTCCGTGGCCCCGCACTCGGAGCAGCAGGCTGGCGCTGCCGGCCCTGGGCAGTGAGGGGCTTGGCACCCGGGCCAGCAGCTGCGGAGGGTTCGCCGGGTCCCGGCGCTGTGCTCGAATTCTCGCTGGGCCTCAGCTACCTCCCCGCCGGGCAGGGCTCGGGATCTGCAGCCTGCCATGCTTGAGCCTTCCCCCAACGCCATGGCCTCTTGTGCGGCCTGAGCCTCCCCTACCAGCGCCGCCCCCTGCTCCGCGGCGCCGGGTCCCACCGACCACCCAAGAGCTGAGAAGTGCGGGCGCACAGCGCGGGACTGGCAGGCAGCTCCACCTGCTGCCCTGGTGCGGGATCCACTATGTGAAGCCAGCTGGACTCCTGAGTCCAGTGGGACTTGGAGAACCTTTATGTCTAGCTAAGGGATTGTAAATATACCAATCAGCACTCTGTCTAGCTCAAGGCTTGTAAATGCACCAATTAGCACTCTGTGTCTAGCTCAAGATTTGTAAATACACCAATCAGCACTCTGTGTCTAGCTCAAGGTTTGCACTCTGTATCTAGCTAATATGGTGGGGACTTGGAGAACCTTTAGTGTCTAGCTAAGGGATTGTAAATACACCAATCAGCACTCTCTGTCTAGCTCAAGGTTTGTAAATGCACCAATCAGTGCTCTGTGTCTGGCTAATCTAGTGGGGACTTGGAGAACTTTTGTGCCTAGCTCAGGGATTGTAAACGCACTAATTGGCACCCTGTCAAAATGGACCAATCAGCTCTCTGTAAAACGGACCAATCAGCAGGATGTGGGTGGGGCCAGATAAGGGAATAAAAGCAGGCTGCCCGAGCTAGCAGTGCCAACCTGCTCCCATTCCCGTCCATGGTGTGGAAGTTTTGTTCTTTTGCTCTTTGCAATAAATCTTACTGCTGCACACTCTTTGGGTCTGCATTGCGTTTATGAGCTGTGACACTCACCGCGAAGGTCTACAGCTTCACTCCTGAGGCCAGTGAGACCAGGAACCCACCGGGAGGAATGAACAACTACAGACGTGCTGCCTTAAGAGCTGCAACACTCGCCGTGAAGGTCTGCAGCTTCACTGCCGAAGCCAGCGGGACCACCAGCCCGCCAGAAAGAAGAAATTCCAAACACATCCGAACATCAGAAGGAACAAACTCCCGACACACCACCTTTAAGAACTGTAATACTGCAAGGGTCTGCGGCTTCGTTCTTGAAGTCAGTGAGACCAAGAACCCACTGATTCTGGACACACCAGTACTTTGGGAGGCCAAGGCGGGTGGATCATGTGAGGTCCTGTTCAAGACTAGCCTGGCCAACAGGATGAAACACCGTCTCTACTAAAAATACAGAAAATTAGCCAGGCATGGTAGCACATGCCTTGTCTATAGTCCCAGCCGCTCAGGAGACTGAGGCAGGAGAATTGCTTGAACCCGGGAGGTGGAGGTTGCAGTGAGCTGAGATCGCGCCACTGCACTCCAGCCTGGGTGATGGAGTGAGACTCTGTCTCAAAAAAAAAGAAAAAAAATGGATGTGACTGAAGAAAGAAAAGAGGTTCCCTTTGGAAGAAGCAGATCTGCTCTTGAGGGGGTGAAGCTGCAGGGGAACGCCCAGGCTTTTTCCCTCCCACCAGTACCTCCTTTTGGCTGAATCCAACCCCAAAGCAGAGGGCAATGGAGCCCAGTGGTGTGGGCCTAGAGGTCAGCTCTCAGGACATAGAACAGGATGGTTGGCCGGACGCAGTGGCTCATGCCTGTAATCTCAGCACTGTGGGAGGCAGAGATAGGAGAATTGCTTGAACCTGGGAGGCGGAGGTTGCAGTGAGCTGAGATCACTCCACTGCACTCCAGCCTGGGAGACAGAGCAAGACTCTGTCTCAAAAAAAAGAAAAAAAAAAAACACCAAAAAACAGGATTGGACTGCAGATTGATGGAACCTGGGGTAGGTAACAGGAATAGAGAATGACCTGCATAGAAGCCACATGTCCTAACTTCCTAATACACCTTAGGGATACCCCTGAGAAGCCAGTCTGGAGACCAAAGGCATCTCCTTCCCAAAACCAAAATGGGGGGTGGGAATAATGAACATTTAGTGAGCACCTACCATGTACCAGGCATATGCTAAGTGCTTTATGTGTACGACGTCATTGAATCCCCACAGAAGTCAATGAAGGAAGCCTTTTTCTTTGTTGGCTGCTGGGACAAAAATCAAAATCACAGTGGCTCAAGGAATTAATATAGAATCAGGGTCTCGCTCTCTTGCCCAGGCTAGCGTGTAGGGGCACAATCATGGCTCACTACAGTTTTGACCTCCCTAGGCTCAAGCGATCCTCCCACCTCAGCCTCCCAAGCAGGTGGAACTATAGGCATGTGCCACCACGCCTGGCAAATTCTAAAGTTTTTTGTAGAGGTGGGGTCTTGTTGTGTTGTCCAGGCTGGTCTCCTTGGCCTCCCAAAGTGCTGGGATTGCAGGTGTGAGCCAACATGCCTGGTCCAATTTAGATTTTGTTTTTTAAGATGGAGTCTTGCTCTGTTGCCCAGGCTGGAATGTAGTGGCACCATCTCGGCTCACTGCAACCTCTATCTCCTGGGTTCAAGCAATTATCCCTGCCTCAGCCTCCCAAGTAGCTGGGATTACAGGCGCCCGCCACCATGCCCAGCTAATTTTTGTATTTTTAGTAGAGATGGAGTTTCGCCACATTGGCCAGGCTGGTCTCGAACTCCTGATCTCAGATGATCCACCCACCTCAGCCTCTCAAAGTGCTGGGATTACAGGCATGAGCCACTGCCCCCGGCCCCAGTTTAGATTTTAAAGAAATTACTAAGGCTGCTAAACCTTATGTTGCTCTCAGCCCCAAGGGCACTGAGAGTTGGGTTTTCCCGATCCCAGGCTTCCTGGGTATAGCTCAGACCACCCTTAAATTTTCCACCCATGCTCCCTCATCCATTCTTTCTTCCCTTCTACAAATTTTCCTCTTCTCTGTTGGCCAGGAACATTTACGCAATAATGTCACACCAGTGACTACCAGAGTTGAATGCCGATAGAGTAACGGGATGCTAAGATGGACATTTCAACCAGGGAGACACAACGACTAGCAACAGAAGCCAGACCACAGTGAAGATCTCTTTTCTTTTCTTTCTTTCTTCTCTTTCTTTCTCTCTTTCTCTTTCTCTCTCCCCCTCCCTCCCTTTCTCTCTTTCTTTCCTTTCTTTCTTTTCTTTTCTATTTTTTTTTTTTTTGAGACGGAGTCTCGCTCTGTTGCCCAGGCTGGAGTGCAGTGGCGCGATCTCGGCTCACTGCAAGCTT